>NC_000013.11:82229122-82381962 GCF_000001405.40 Homo sapiens | reverse complement strand
AGGTTTAATTGATTCACAGTTCCAAGGAGCTGGGGAGACGTCAGTAAACTTAACAATCATGGTAGAAGACACCTCTTCACCGAGCAGCAGGAGAGAGAATGAATGCCAGCAGAGGAGATGCCAGATGCTAATAAAACCTTCAGATCTCATGAGAACTCACTCAGTATCACCATAACAACATGGGGGAAACTGACCCCATGATTCACTCATTTCTCACCAGGTCCTTCCCATGACATATGGAGATTATGAGAACTACAGTTCAAGATGAGATTTGGGTGAGGACACAGCCAAACCATATCAGAGCATTTTAACAAATGTTTTTCTCTCATTCCTTTGGTCACTTATATAAAGTATCCATCATCACCAAGTAAATGAAGCCTAACTGAATATTGAACAAAAATTTTATACACTAGTTATATATTATGCCTATGGAAGAAAATTATATATTCTTGTTTATGGTACAGAAAACAAAAAAACTGGACAGATTAACACCTCAATTTTGCAAGATATTGTCTAATAGTTTTCATCATAAATTAGCCTTCAACAGTGCATCTGACCTACTTTAAGATAAATTTCTTTTTATAATAGATGGTATAGAAAGATGTGAAATTCTTAGGTTTTAGCTAATTTCTTACTGTTTACACAGTAAATTATGGTATTCAAAGAAATAATGGAATATTGTGATGTTGTATAAGACATTTAGTAAATCAGTGGAGGCTGGTGCTAGAAAAGGTCTTGTGAATAGTAAACTGAAATGAAAACCCTCATATTTCAGTGAGGACAATTATTGCATATCCAACATTCTGCAATCGATAAAATTAGCCTGTCTCTAATGAACTGGCATGGTTTCCATTGGTTTAACAAAGATACCCTGGGAATACAGACAAGATTCTCCATGCCCAGAAAAAGTGAAAGATGAGAAAGTTAGAGAGTAAATCTGAAGGAGTAAGCTGAGGACATCTAAAACACATCTATGGCTTTCTATTTATTTTTATTTTACTATATTTTTCTACTATTTTCTTATTTTATTCCTTTCCTGGCTCTTTCTGCATTAATCAAATTTAGTTGGTCTCACTTTTTCTCTATAGTTATTTGCTCCAATTTTGAGAGTAGTTAACTTTTAACTCCTTCAAAAAACATGTTTACCTTTTAATGATCACTCACACTTCCCTTTGGTAAACCAAGTGAAGATGAAGAGTAGATAAATTAGCACTCATCCAATCCACCTTCAAGGGACCCAAATTACACGTATGTAAATGGAAAATCTGACAGTACAATTTCTTTGAGAGAACATATTTTTTAAAAAATAATAAGTAGTTTTATCTGGTTGAAGTAATTGTTGTACCTGAGTGAGTTAGAGAAAACTCACACTTTGAGATGAATTAAGAGTCCGTTTATTTAGCCGGTGGCCAAGAGATGACTAACGCTCAAAATTCTCTCGACCCTGAAGAAGGGGCTAGATTTTCTTTTATACTTTGGTTTAGAAGAGAGAAGCAGGGTCTAGTTAAAACAATTTTACAGAAATAAAGTAGGCAAAAAGTTAAAAGGATAGATGGTTACAGGAAAGCAAACAGTTCCAGGTGCAGGGGCTTTAAGACTATTACAAGGTGATAGACTCGGGGCTTTGGGCATTATCAATCAGACGAATTCCTGGGAATTGTGGATATTGCTCGCCACAGTATCTTATCAGTTAATTGCATTCTTGGATGTGCTGGGAGTCAGCTTGCACAAGTTAAGTCCTTGAGGAAGGGGCTGCCAGTGAAAGAGCCAAGATGGAGTCTGTCCGGCTCTCTTAGCTAAGGGATAGTCAATTCAGGTGGAAACAAGGCTGGGTGATTAAAGGAAAGGGAGAGTCTGAAAACAGGGTTAGTAAAAATGAGGTTGGGCATTACATAATGAAGTGATGAAGGCAAGGTTGCTAGAGATAAGATAATTAAATAGCTGAAATACTTACTTGAAAAGACACGTTTTCCTTATTCATATATCATTACATGGACATGTAAGTTGATTTAACATTATGGCTATTGTGAATTCTACTGCAATATGCATGGATATACAGATGTGTCTTCAACATACTGATTTCAGTTCTTTGGCTATACACCCAGTAATGGGATTGCTGAATCATATGGTAGTTTTATTTTTAGTGTTTTGAAGAAACATCATACTGTTTTCCGTAATGACTGTACTAATGTACATTCCTAACAACGATGAATAGGTGATCTCTATTTTTCTGTATTCTTATGAGCATTTTAAATCTTTTGTCTTTTCTTAATATTAGCCATTCTAATTGAAATGAAGTGAGGATTATTGAAATAAGGCCTTAACAGAACAGGCCACAAAATCAAAAATAGACAAATGGGATTACATCAAGCTAAAAAGCTTCTGAATGTCAAAGAAAACAATCAATAAAATGAAGACACGACCTAAATAATGTGAGAAAGTACTTGCAAACTAAGCATCTGTCATTGGGTTAATTTCCAGAATATATAAGAAACTCAAACAACTCAATAGCAACAAAACAATCTGATTTTAAAATGGGCAAAAGAACTAAATAGACATTTCTCAAAAGAAGACATGCAAATTTTCAATGTACATAAGAAAAAAATGCTCAACATCGTTAATCATCAGAGAAATGCAAATCATAACCACAATGAGCTAATTTGATATTTCAACAGAATCCCTGAGAGTCAAGTATGAAGTATAGACATCATATTCACTTTAAAGAAAAATAAACTTAGAGATTGTCTGAGGCAAGCTTGGACTGCTATAACAAAATACCATAGAAGGGCTGACTTAAAAACAGATTTTATTTCTCACAGTTCTGGAGGCTGGAAGTCTGAGGTCAGGGTGCCAGCATGGTTGGGTTCAGGTGAGGTCTTTCTGGCATGTATATGGCCAACTTCATGCTGCATCCTTATATGGCATAGAGGGAGAGCTCTGGTTGCTACTCTTTTTCTTATAAAGAAACTAATCCCATCATGGGGGCCCCATCATCATGACCTCATCTAAACTTAATTAGCTCTCAAAGGCCCCATCTCCAATCACCATCACTTTGGGGGTTTGGAGTTTAATAAATGGATTTGGGGGAGGACATAAATATTCTGTCTAAAACAAATAGGCTAAATCACTTTTATTTACTTTTTGAAGTCTTGCTTGTGTATTCAAGAAAGCATAGTTTTACATTCTTTAGTTCCAAATTTACTATGCTATTTAGTGATCTTTCATGCAATGTTGATATTATCAAATGTAATATTCTAGAAAATTAAGTCTGTCAAGTGGAATTTACTGCCAATATTTGTTTCTACACACACCCAATAGTAGGATACCTTATGTTAAAAATTATAATTCTTCAATACTCAATAGTAGGATACCATATATTAACAATTATAATTCTTCAATATTTTTAATTTTTAGTTGTCTGTTTCTTTTAATATACTTGGGCATTTTTAGAAGTTAATAATCTAAATAAAATCCATGTATTAATTTGAACATTTATTAAATATAACCCATATACCTTACTAACAATTTACTGTGACCAAATCTGATTTTTACTCTAAAAAAAAATAAGTAGATAGCTAGGGAGACAAAATACTAGGAAAACATGGTTAAAATTGTGACCTGATATTCAGTCATTCAACAATGAAGCATTAAGTTATAAGCAAAATGCCATACAGAATGGCGTATTAGTCCTTTCTCACTTTGCTAATAAAGACATACCTGAGACTGTGGAATTTATAAAGAAAAGAGGTTTAATTGACTCACAGTTCAGTATGGCTGAGGAGGCCTCAGGAAACATTCATCATGGTGGAAGGGAAAGCAAACACGTCCTTCTTTGCAGCAGCAAGGAGAAGTGCTGAGAAAAAAGAGGGAAAAGATCCTCATAAAACTATAAGATCTCGTGAGAACTCAATCATTATCATGAGAACA
This sequence comes from Homo sapiens, assembly GCF_000001405.40. NCBI lineage: Eukaryota > Metazoa > Chordata > Mammalia > Primates > Hominidae > Homo > Homo sapiens. The sequence goes on along the minus strand of NC_000013.11, from coordinate 82,378,035 downwards.
GCATGGAGGTAACTGCTGCATGATTCAATTACCTCCCACATGGTCCTGTCCATGACATGTGGAGATTATGGGAACTACAGTTCCAGATGAGATTTGGGTGGGGACACAACCAAACCATATCAGCTGGTAAAGTGAAATGGTGTTGCTGAGCCTGCTCACTAAACATCTGAAATATATCAACTAAAATTTTGTCGAATTACAAAGGAATTAAGTGAAGAGGTTAAAGAGACTGCTAGCTATACCTAAATTGTTACAAATAAATTTCCATATCACAGTGAAATATATACAATAAAATTTAGGCCATATTTTTTTTTTCCTGCAGAAGTCTTCTATAATCTAATGGGATAAACACAAACATAAGAAGACAATTTTAAGGAAAATAGTTTATTATCTTGATTTTATAAAAGGATTTCCTGCTGAAATCACACATAATAAATTATGTTATATGTTTTAAGAGGCTTCAAGTACTCTTTGTGTGTCTGAATAAAGCTTGAAATAAAAATTATTGAGATTATGTTGAAAGCTATGTTATGTTCAGTGACTCTCAGATGCTGTTCTGCTCTGACCTGAGTGTTGTAACAAATGCAGGTCCAATTATTATTATATCTCCATGTAATTGATTTTGTACATAATGTAATTTCCTCCATTTCCTATTTAGCTGGATTTTATTTTCATAAGATATTTTAGAATCAAATAATTCAATTAAAGCTCCTTATTGGTAAACAGAACTAATAGGGACTGTTCTATTAAGAAAAATTTACATACTAGCGAGAAAAACTTCCAAAATGATTACAGAGCATTGAGAAGACAAGGCATTGTGAAGTTTCCTTTTATAATAGAATTACTATATTAAATAGAACCTATTATATACACTGAATCACCAATTCATTTTAAAAGTAAATTGGATCTGACAGTAGTATGAAGAATCCATACTACTGTCATACATAAATAGTATCATACATAAATAGTTTTCTTTCAAATGAGGGTCTTAAGGGAAAAATCAATATCTGTGGTATTCTTGGAAATTTAAAAATTATTAACCTTAAAATAATGACCTATTCAAAGAAACAATAAAATAAGTTAATATTCACATGGAATTAGGCTAATTTTACATCATAGATTATTATATTTTTCTTCCTAGATTTGGTAACTCTGAAATATTGCCTGTTTTAAAAGGAATTAAAAATATTTTCATCTACATTCTGAGGCTTTCATTTTCATTACAACATTGCTTGGCAATTCAGTCTTTAGCAATGGGAGAGAAATTAGAAAAAAAGACCAACAAGGTAAATATACATTATTTTTATAAGTCAGTTGTATAAGGTTGGTTATTACCCTGACATTGCTAATATTCATTAATACATAACCTTATTAAATTGAAGAACAGTAAATTGACAAATTCCTCAAAGGTATCTATCAAGTTTTAGCCTAAATAATTTTTATATGGCTGTACTAAACACTGAAATGTGTCTTCAGTGGAGATTCTCACATTACACTTAAAAAGGTAATTTTAAAATAAGTTGTCATAATAAATTATTTTTTTGTAACTAATGGAACCAGTTGATTCCAATTAAATTACTCCGGCTCTTTCACCAAAACTCATTCGCCCTTCAAAAATGTGTTATTTAAAGCCCTTCAATATTAGTTGATAATAGTGTTAAGTTGCGACACATGTCCTGATTTTAAAATAGAATAGTGTCACTAGAGCCAATTCCTTTTTTCTTTCTTTATTATTTATTTATTTATTTATTTATTCATCTATTTATTGAGATAAGGTCTGGCTCTGTCACCCAGGCTGGAGTGCAGTGGCCCAATCTTGGCTCACTGCAACCTCAGGCTTTTGGGCTCACAGCATCCTCCCACCTTAACCTCCCAAGTAGCAGGGACTACAGGCTGTGCTGCCACATCAGCTAACTTTTGTTTGTTTGTTTGTTGTTGTTTTTTTTTTTAATAGACAGGGTCTCACTTTTTTCCAGGCTGCTGGTCATGAACTCCTGAGCTCAAGCTGTCCACCCACTTTGGCCACTCAAAGTGCTGAGATTACAGGCATGAGCTGCTGCACTCAGCCAGTAGATTTGTGTTCCAAAATCACAAAAATAGTTTCCATATTTAGGGTTGCTGCAATTAATGTAAATTTTAACCTGAATAATAAAGTGTTTGGTGATTTTTATACATATTGAAATATAGCATATGATAATTTAATTAAAAAGGCCCAGCTCTACTACTTCACCGTGGAAGTTTTGGACATTATTCATATTACATATTGAAAATAGGTAACAGTTAAGATCCTGGAAGTCTGTGACACCTGGATCTACTGGGCAAAACATTTAAGTAATATAAAGTGTTAAATAATCTAATAAACGCTCTTTGATACAATTTTTACAAACTTTCTCTAGTAAATATTATCTTGTAAGTAAACTATAGTCCTTGAAGTCTAGTTTATTACTCAATTTGAGTTGGGATCCTTTTATAAAAATCATCTAGATTCTCACAAAAGTTAACTAGTTTTCTAATAAAATAGGTACAGAAGGCATTAGCATAACACTATGAAATTTTAGGTACTGTTGTGATCGACATTCATGTTGACTCAGACACTTTTCTCTATCCATTAGTGTATTGTTAAATAGAGATTAAAACATACAATGAGCTGTTGTTAAGGAAAAAAATATATAAGCATGCTATTTTTTCCTCATGATTAAAGAATTCAGCTGCTAAACCAAGAAGAAACAAAAAATATCACTCAAGATACATTTTAGAAATTATAAATGCCATAAACTTTCAATGAGTGTAATATATGGACACAACTTAATAAGAAGATTCTTTTAGTTTGCAGACCAATACAAAAAAAAGAAAGGAAAAAACGATGATTTCTTGATTGCAATTCACAGGAGGCATTTTTCCTAGCGTTCTAATTGTTATCCTTTGTCTGCATAGTAAGTGATTTCATTAACTCTGAAATAGCATACTATTCAAAAGTAGCTCCTAAGGCTCTGAATTTATTGATGATTTCCTTCCAAAACTGTTATGACTCACTTGAAAGAGAGTGTTTTGTTCATACAGAATATTGAGTCAAAAAAAATTTTGGAGTATGTTAACATAAGATCTTGATGAGTGTTGCAATATATTGATGACTGTGACAATTACCACCTAAAATTTTCTTTAGTTACATACATTAAAATCTGTTTGCCAAAAAGAAATGAAGTTTCTTGACTAAGACTGCAAATAGAAAATCTGAGATTTTTAGACATCATTGTCATTGATGTTACCTCTGTTTATAAGAAGATACTAAGCTAATAATGTTTCATTTTTTAAAAAGTGAGTTCTGTTTTTCTTCATTTGTAGATGAGAAAATATTGGGATATGTTCTTTGAGAAAAATGTGTCTTTATTGCAACATAGATCACATATTAAAATATAATATGATTGAAGTTACCATAAAATAAACAATCATTTTGATATATATTTTAGAATGCTATTTTAATAAAGAAATTACTAAAAGCATATCAAGTAAAATTATTATATATCTATATCTTGAAATAATATATATATATAATAGAGACAGAGTCTTGCCATGTTGGTCCTGAACTCCTGAGCTCAAGCAATCCTCCCACCTCAGCCTCCTAAAGAGCTGGGATTACAGGAGTGAGCCACCACACCTGGCCTTATTTGGATATATTGATTGTAAGGCACATGTATAAAATAAAAAGGCTTGAAATAAATAAATAATGTTAGATATTTTTAAACTAAAAATAATTTATACAATTTTTCGTCATAAACTTGAAAAACAGTGCATATTATCAGTTTTTAAGGAAATACAATTTGCCAAAATTGATACAAAGAATAAGATAATAAACAAGAATAATGTAATATTGCTAGAGAATACATTAATATAAAAACTTTTAAAAAATTACTTAAAAACATTGCCAAGTATTCAATTATAAAAGAATATACTTTCTTGCCTTTCAAATTGTTAAAAGTTTCAGTGCTACATGTGATCTAATATATTTCATGTGCTATTTGCCATCCATGTTTCTTCTTTAGTAACAATGTTCATTTTTTTTCTGTTCCACTTTCACTGACGTTCTAAAGTTAGTTGACTATTTCTTATTATTGATTTATAATACTTTGCGTATCCTGGGTAAAAGTGCATATCAGATGTATTAGTCCATTTTCACACTGCTGATAGAGACATACCTGAGACTGAGTAATTTATACAGAAATAGAGGTTTAATGGACTCACAGTTCCAAGTGGCTGGGGAGGCCTCACAATCATAGTGGAAGGCGAAAGGCACATCTTACATGGCAGCAGAAAAGAGAGAAAATAAGAGTCAAGTGAAAGGGGTTTCCCCTTATAAAACCATTCCCCTTATAAAACTTATTCACTACCATGAGAACAGTGTGGGGGAAACCACCTCCATGATTCTTTTATCTCCCACTGGATCCCTCCCACAACACATTGGAATTATGGGAGCTACAATTCAAGATGAGATTTTGGTGAGGATATAGTCAAACCATGTCATCAGATATGTAATTTCTAAATTTTTTTCCCAACCAGTGGTTTGTCTTTACACTGCCTTAAACATGTCTTTCAGAGAAGAGCAGTTCTTAACTTGGGTGAAGTCCAGTTTATCAATTTTGTTTTTATAGATTGTGCTTTTTGGATTTTTACTTAAGAAATCATTGTTAACCCCAATGTAACAAAAATTTTCTCCTTTCTTCTAGAAGTTTTATAGTTTAAGGTTTTACATTGAGGTGTCTACTTCACTTGAATTAGTATTCGTATACATTAAAAGAAATGGATAGAGATAATTTGTCTTCTTTCTTTTTTTATTTGCATGTGGCTCTCTAAGTTTTCTAGTGGTATATGTTGAAAAGACTATTCTTTCTCCTTTCAGTTGCTTCTGTACCTTCATTTATATATCTATATATATTCTACTGAATCTGCTTCTCTGGAGAATTCTGACTACAGATTTTGCTATCAGAAGTAGTTCCAGAGGAAGAGAACTTTATTTTCTTTTTAATTTATTTGTTTTATGAGACAGGGTCTTCCTCTGTTGCCCAGACTGAAGTGCAGTGGAATGAACACAGCTCAATGCAGCTTTGTCCTCCCAGGATCATGTGATTTTCCCACCTCAGCGTCCCCCAGCACCACCCCAGTAGCTGGGACTATAGGCACACACCACCATGCCTGGCTAATTTCTGTATTTTTTGTAGAGACTTGGTTTCTCTATGTTGTCCAGGCTAGCCTTCAATTCCTCAAGGTATCCCTTGACTCAAATTCCCAAAGTGCCAGGAATACAGACATGAGCCCCTGTGCCCAGCTGGAATAGAAGTTTAAAGATAAATTTTTAGAATTGGCTTTGGGGTTTCTGCAGCTGGCTCTCTAATCTGATTAAATTTGAAGACACTACAAGATTCTATTCCACTAGGAAAGAGAACTGGCATAAACTGTTTATACAGATACACAAAATATTTGCATTATACTCCTAATCAATCTCTTTCAAGAGGCAGGAAGTTAAGTAACTCTGTTTCTGGCACTTTCATACATTTTGGGAAAACTAAGAAATATAATGACGTTGGTTAATTGTTCCTAATGTCACAGGATCAAGTGCTGAGAAAAGAATGAACTAACGGATGTGAATTTTCAATATGTACTACATGCATCGTGTAAGAGTTTTGTGAACCTGAATATCGCAACAGGTCTCAGTTAATTTACAATGTTTATTTTGCCAAGGTTGAGGATGTGTGCCCATGACACAGCCTCAGGAGGTCCTAACAACATGTGCCCAAGGTGGTAAGAGCACAGTTTGGTTTTATACATTTTAGGGAAATATGAGACATCAATCAATATATGTAAGAAGAACATTGGTTCGGTCCAGAAAGGGAGGACAACTCAAAACAGGGGAAAGGCTTCCAGGTCATAGATAGATAAGAGACAAATGGTTGCATTCTTTTGAGTTTCTGATTAGCCTCTCCAAAAGAGAGGTCCTCTCACAGTACAAGGTCATCTGTAGTACCCCAAAGCCAAAGAAGCCAGGTCATGCAATACAGGAAAACAGACCTTTAGACCTATGAAGAATTTGCCCATGACTCTTGCAACTCCAAAAAGAAAACACATCACCCCTAAAAGGGTGAGTGGTGCCTTTGTTCTGGATTCTTTAAAGGGTTTTGAGTCAGTAGAAGCCTTTTCTAGATTTTATGGTACTGCAGATGGCCAAGGAGGAAGAAGTTATTGGGTGTAAGAAAAGTAAATGAAAGAACATTTGATTTTTGAGACTGAAAGCAAGCATAGACACCAAGCACATACTTTTTGTTTTTGATTGTTTGTTTTTCCTCTTTTCCAGATGCGAGGAATTTTAACCAAATTAAAGAGGCTTTGTTAACCATAATTTGGAATTGTCATATAGATTTAATCAAGTCAGGTAATGTTGGTCAAATCTAGTGGGAGAAAGACTAGAAAAAACAACAACAAATAAAACTCCAACAATATGATCACTGAGTGCTCTGATGATAAGAAGAAATTAGGACCAGCTGGTTGTTAAACTTTAGCCAACACAAAACCCTAACTCAGCCACTTACCGAGGGGTGGGTCTCAGACTGAAGACTGCTCTCTACCATCCTAGAAGCAGGAGAAAACTTCAACTCGTCTTCCTTGCTGGGAGCAAGCTCAAAATCCATAAAGAAGTTACCTTGCTTTCCATCATCATGAAGCAGGAAATCTTGCCTTCCTTGTTGGAAGCAAGTAAATCTCCAAAAACAAAGGGAGTTGTACAGCAAAATAAATTTTAGATCTCGATGAAATTTTGGGAGTTCAGGGATTCTCTCGAGGGTGTGTTCCCAGACCTCAGCAAATTGTTCTATTGGTTTTGGCCATAAAGTTAGCTTATGCTGGTACCAAGCACCAGTAGAAAATTTGTCAAAGGTCAGGGGTACCTCTATTCAGAATCTTTCCGTGGTTACCAAAATATGAACTCTGAATGTCTGAGACAGGTCTCAGTTAATTTAGAAATGTTTATTTTGCCAAGGTTGAGGATGTGTGCCCATGACATAGCCTCAGGAGGTCCTGACATGTGCCCAAGGTTGTCAGAGCACAGTTTGGTTTTATACATATTACAGAAACATGAGACATCAATCAACATATATAAGATAAACATTGGTTCAGTCCAGAAAGGCAGGACAACTCAAAGTGGTGAGGGGCTTCCAAGTCACAGGTAGATAAGACAAATGATTGCATTCTTTTGAATTCCTGATTAGACTCTCCAAATGCATAATAAGATATGCATTTATCTTAGCAGAGAGGTGACTTTGAATAGAATGAGAGGCAGGTTTGCCCTAAGCAGTTCCCAACTTGACTTTTCCCTTTAGCTTGTGATTTGGGGGCCCCAATGTTTATTTTTCTTTCATAGATTTTAGGTGTGCCCTGAAGAAAAGCCCTTTCTTATAATCCCAGTATTAACATTGCTGAAAATCAAGCACATGAACTCATACAGTGATTGACTGAATTACTATGCAAGTTGAACTCTCATCCTCTAAGAATGTGGTTAGAGGATCACTTTCTATTAAAGTGAGGTCATTGAAAGGGAAACAACAAGATCCTGTAAGTTGAGATGGAGGTGTATGGAAAGACAATGCAGCTGGGGACATCGAGCCCCTAAATTCTGATGAGATTTTTTTGTTTGTTTGGGTTTTTTGCTAGTCAAAAAGGTCTCCTTACCCCCCAATAACAGCAGCCTCCTCACCCTCATTTATGTAATAGTTAGGGTTCTCCAGAGAAACAGTACCAAAAGGATATATGTAATACATAGGAGGAGATTTGTCATGGGAATTGGTGAATGTGATTATGAGTGAGGCTCAGTAGTTCCACAATATGCCCTTTGCAAGCTGGAACACTGGGAAAGCCAGTTGTGTACTTCAATCCAAGTTTGAAGGCTTGAGAACGAGGAGCTCAAGATGCCCAAGGACAAGAGAAAGTGGATGTCTCAATTAAAGAAGAGAGTGGATTCACATTTCCTCCCCCTTTTGTTTCTATTCGGGGGATCCCATAATGGTAAGGGTGGATCTACTTTACTCTGCCCACTGATTCAAATGCTAATCTCTTCTGGAAACATCAAAAATAGACACACCCAGAAAAAACGTTCTACAAGGTATCTTGGTATCACTTTACCCAGTCAAGCTGACACACAAAAGTAACCATCAGAAAATATATGGATGGCTTATATGTAGTCTCTCTTTTTTATTCTATTGATCTCTTCTATATGCCAATATCACAACATTTTTACTATTTCAGCTTTAAAATTGGCTTCAATATCACATAGTCAGTTCCCTAACATGAATCTTTTTTTTTCAAAGTTGTTTTGATTGTTCTATATTCTATTCTGTGTATTTTTATGAATTTTGAAGACTTTAAATCAGTTATGCAATTTCTACAAAAAAAAAATCCCCTGTAATTTTTATTGAAATGGCTTTAAATCTATAAGTTAGTTTGGGGAAAATTGATATGTTAACAATATGGAATCTTTTGATTATGAGAACAGTATATCTTTTGCATTATTTACGTCAGTGTTTTCAGCAATGTTTTGTGGTTTTCAGACTAAATTCTTGCACATCCTTTGTCAGATTTATCTTTGAGTATTTTATATTTTTGATACGATTGTAAATCAATTTTTGAAATTCTAGTACTGAATTCTTCACTGGTAGCTTATAGAAATACAACTGATTTTTGAATTTTGAATTTATCCTGCTAACTTGCCAAACTCACTTTTTGGTTATTTTAACTTTTTTGAAGATTTTATTTAATTTTCTGTAAAAATGATAAAGTCATCTAATCAAAGACTTTCACTTCTTCCTTTAGAATTTGTATGCCTTGACTCCTTTTTCTTCACTGATTGCACCACTAGATAGTATTTCTAGTAAAATGATGAGTAGAAGTAATGGAAGAGGATATTCTTGCCATGTTTCTGATACTAGCATGAAATAATTCAATTTTTCATGTTTAAGTGTGATGTCACTGGCAGACTTTTCATAGATGTTAATAATAAGTTTGAAGAAGAACACTTCTGTTCCTCCTTTGCTGAAGGTTTTTATAAGGAGCAGACAGACTTTAACAAGTATTGGCCAAGATGCATAAAATTGGAAGGCTCAAATATTGCTAGTGGAAAAATAGAATAGCACAGCCATTTTTAACAATACTATGGCAGTTTCTTAATCAGTTAAAAATAGACTTACCATATGGCTGAGAGTCCACTCCTGTGTATCTCTCCAAGAAAATGAATACATCCATACACATTTATACAATAGTGTTCACATCAGCATGATTTATAATAGGCAAAGTGGAAGCAAGTTAAATATTTATCAACTGATGAATGGATGAACAAAATATGGCATATTCTTGCTATGAAATATCATTTGGCAGTAGAAAGGAATGAAGAACTGATATATATAACAACATGGATGAACTTCAAAAACATTTTGCTCAGTGAAACAAAGATAGACAAAAAGCATATATAGTATTATTTCATTTTTTTGAAATATCCCAGAAAAGCCAATGCTGAGAAGAGAAAATAAACTAGTGTTTTCCTAGGACTGGAAGTAGAAATAGAGAGTGACTGAAAGTGGGCACAAGCTTTTTTTTAGGATTATGGAAATGTTTCAAAATTAGCTTGTGGTGATGGTTTTTCTACTCTAAGTATACTAAAATTCTTTATGGTACACATTTAAAGGAGGTACACATTATTTTTATGGCTTATAAATTATATGTTAAAAGTGTTAAAAATATGAGGCTACTAACATAGGTCAGGTGATTTGAAAATGTAGACGATATAAAGGCAAAAAAATAGCATTTTCTTCTATATGTTTACAATATAGTATATAGTGACAGATATTTAAGCAAAGAAGTATATTTAAATGCTTATGGGGCATAATAATCTTATTTATAATTTATAAGTTGATAAAAAAGTAATATTTCTGTATTTAATAATATATTTATATGAATTCCATTTTGAAAATTTAACTTTTTTATGAATTATAGGTATTTAATCATTATTTTCTGGATGATAGGTATAAAGGGAAGGAAAATTAGAAGGTGAAGATTGAGTAGTTGTATTCAGATATTACCAAATGGATATTTAACCAAAACTAAATAAAAAGTAATATTTACTTGTCTATTGCTATAGTCTGAATATTTGAGTCTCCCCTAAATTTATATGGTAAAACCTAAACCACAATGTGATGGTTTTAGGAGTAGAGGGCCTTTTTAGTAGGTGATTATGTCACGAGAGTGGAACCCTCATGAATGTGATTAGTGCATTTATAAGAGGCTGAAGAGACCAGAGTTTTCCTTTCCATTACTTGAGGACACATAAGAAGTTGCCATCTATGAACTAGGAAGGTAACCCTCACCAGACCCTGAATTTGCTGGTATTTTTTTCCTGGACTTTCCAGTCAGGAAATGTGATAAATAAATTTCTGTTGTTTACAATCTACCCAGTTTATGGTATTTGTATTTTAAATACAGCCAAATGGACTAAGACATCCATATTGCTCAATTATTATAGTAGGTAAAGAGCTTTTCAGACTCATGACATAGTAAAGTCTTTCAAATAACATTCTGGTTTATCCAGATGCATTGAAGTGAGAACTTGTAAACAACACTTTGTGGGAGAATTTCTTTTTAACCACATGATAGAATTTCTTGGTCTAAAATGTGACTCAATTTGTGTTCTGCAGTAAATTAGAGTCTGAACACAAATTTAGCATACTAATAGTTTTCTGTGTTGGTATTTAGACTCTCCTAAGCTCTAAGTGTAAATGCATGTAAATTAGACAAATTAATTCTTTCCAACTAATTGCCCCGCAATACTTAAGTAAGTCACCACATAATGCATCATTTGTTTATCTATATGACAAAATAATTATAACAAACATATGCCACAAATTATTTATTAATTAATCCATTTGCTCACTTGTGCATTTGTCTGTTCATTCATTTATTCATTTTTTCATTCATCTATTTATTTGATGTAACTAGTGTTTACAGTATTCTAAACACTTGCATTTTTATAACATTGATAATATTCATCTTTTAAAAAGGGTCACTTGATACTAATGTTAACTACTAAAATAAGGTAAAATTTAAATCTTAGCTAGCACAGTACCTTAATAAAAATATAATAATTTCAGGCTTGGCGCGGTGGCTCACGCCTGTAATCCCAGCACTTTGGGAGGCCAAGGGGGGGCGGCTCACGAGCTCAGGAGATCAAGACCCTTCTGGCTAATGCGGTGAAACTCCATCTCTACTAAAAATACAAAAAATTAGCTGGGCGTGGTGGCACGCACCTGTAGTCCCAGCTACTCTGGAGGCTTCCCGGGAAGCAGAGGTTGCAGTGAGCCAAGATTGCACCACTGCACTCCAGCCTGGGTGACAGAGGGAGACACTGTCTCAAAAAATAAAAATAAAAATAAAAATAATAATTTATTTGAGTGATTATTATCTGATACATTTTTATAGCATATTGAAAAGACATCATTTCTACTAATAAGGTGTGGGTTTTAATACTTTCTGATTTAAAAGCAATAATGCCAAATTTTTTATTTGCTGTAACACCCACTAAATTTTTATTACTTTTTAAAAACTACTATATACACACACCAATACATATGTAACCATATACATATCTACTTATATATTAAACTATATCTAGAGAGAGAGAGAGAATAAACTTTTCTCACAGAGCATCCATAATAGTTTCCTTCAAAACATATCATGTCATTTACTCCGTCTGCTCAAAAAGCACCAATGGCTTCCCATTGCTATCAGAGTAAAATCCAGATGAGCTAGTTATATAGATGGGATCATCTTCTACCATGCTCCTACTTGCTCAGGTCTTTCCAGATTCACTGACCTACTTGATACATCTCAAAACAATGCATATGATCAGGGCCTTTGCACTTCTTGATCTCTCTGATAGAAATGCTCCACAAATATCTGTATGGCTCACTCTGGACTTTCCTGACAATTCTGAATGAATTAATTAAAATAAGTTCAGCTTATCTCCCCTTTCCTCTTAAAATTTTCTGGATTATGCTTATCGTATGTTTGTTTTTTGTATCTGCATGTATGATATAACATAGATACTTGTGCATATTGGTCGGTGGTCTATAAGCAGAAGCTTTATTACTATATTATTACAGGAGAGTCAGTTATCAGGCTAAAAATGCAATCAGGTTTTCAGCTTTTAGCCTGGGAAATACTACAATAAAAAAAAGTCAGATGACTCAGGGTTATATACATATCAGATAATGTTACACAAAATCATGAAATGCCATGAGTATTTGCTAAGACAGAATTTTTCTGGATAATTGAACTATTTCTTGATAAACTATTTTATTGGAAATTTTGTTGTTATCACATACCTTCCATTGGCAAACACTCTGCTTTTCATGTTTCTGTATAGAGTGATTGTCATCTAAATGGGAGTGCATCCACTCCCATACTATTTACAGATAATTGTCCCTTTATAGCTGGATAAAAATTATATGAAAATTATCCTGCTCTATTTAATATAACTGATTCAAAACTGTATGTTTGAAGAGGGATTATTCTGTTTGTCTGCATAAGAATGAATGGCATGCTGTATTACAGAAAAAGAAAGAGAAATAGAAGAAAAAACCCACTAGGGTACATTATTAGTTTTATAATTACATTTAAAGAGTTTTTGGGGGCCCTAGCTTATGGACCCTATTGGTATAACTTTACAACAATCTGAATTTTTATTATATTGGTTTAATGTACTTATCTGGATTTGAAAGAACAAGGCGCTTGGGTAATTAAAACACATAGTCTCCTTGAGCTGCTAGCAGATAGCAAAGTGCTATTTGATTTTGTGTGACTATTTTCTATTTGGCTTTCAATTTCACTAAAAGGACCTCACAGTGTCTGCACTGGAATGAAGGCAATTATTATATGGGTCTTTGAAATAAATTGGAGTGTTTTCTTCAATTTATTTATCCTTAAGATTGGTATTGGTATCCTCATTGTCTTAAACCCAAGTTTCTGTTCTCTATGCCTAATAATTTTGTCATTGTAGTTCTAGAATAAACTTTCTCTATAATATATAAAGTTATCTTATATGATTTCATATACTATTTTAAGACTCCTGCTGTGATTTATCCAGGAAATATGTATTTTTTTGAATTCTTCCAATATGTTAAAAGCCCATTTGTTATAGTACCAATCAATCCTTTCTTCAATAAGTTGAGGTAAAGAGAAGTGGCAGATTGTAATAGATCCTCCTTTCTGGAGTGATTTTGCTGACATTGCCTATTTATGAACAGTGCAGCAACTCCATTAGTAGTATAGTAAAGAACCATCAAGTTTGTCAGGTTGAAAAAAAAATGTCCTTTTCACTTGAGCTGAAATGTTCTACAATTGCTCTGTTCCTTTTTTTTTTTTTTTTTTTTTTTTTTAGGAGTGCCTTTCTCTGTACACACAAATGGGGCTTCTGTTTTAAGACTAAATGGCCCAGTTCTCTATGGACACTGTGTTTGCTCAGTTGGGCTGTCTTATTCCACATCGATGTATCTGAGAAACCCAACTCAGTCTAGACCCAGCAAGACAGACTGGACAGAGTACTGATAAAAGACATGACTTAACTCATATAAAGTGGCCATGAGCTCTAATTCAGTAATTGGATTGATTTAAGAAAATGTCTATGGATTGTGTCAGTTTTCAAAACATTGTAATAGCCTGTATTTCTAGAGATGTGAATATGACTAGAGAAACTATGAAAACTCCTGGATTACTTTTAATTCAATATGAATTATTTTAACTGGACTTTCAAATCGTTTTTAAGTATTTAAAAATATTATATGTAATATAGGCTTAAACCCAGCTTGTGTATGTGTAAATTATTTTATACAGTTATAGAAAGGGTCTCGAATTGTGGGTGACTAATTCTCATTAGTGTAGATGTCTTTATTGATGTTTTGTGTAATGTATTCAGGTGGGAAAGTAAAAAGCAATATGTGCTTGCTAATAAGTTGAGCAGGACGATACTTTGGGCACTATCTATTCTGGAAATGTGATGGCTAAAAAATTACTTTTTAGAAATTTCATTGTGAAACAACCAATAGTATTGTACTATATCAGGGCACCAAGGTTATTTATACACAGGAAAACTACTTAGCTACCTCATTTGATAAAGAGATGAAATATTTGAGCTTTATCTAACTCACCAGAAGTTATAGATAAAATGGGTCCTAGGGGAAATTAACACAAAGAGAAGAATGAATCCAGTCATTTCCTTATTTATTCAAATAAGAGCAAATTTTTCAGTCAGGAACCAATAATATTGATAAGACCAATTCATACTGAATATCACTACTTATTCAGCAATCAGTTTGGTAAGACTTTTAGTCAATCCCACATCACTTGAAATAAATGTAGTTTTTCTCATTAACCACAGTTAATTGTCTTATAATTTTATTTATTTATTGCTGAGTTGTAAAAGAGTCTTAGTCCTCAAAAACCAATTTATGGAGAAAAATATGCAGTTCATTTAGCAATAGCATAAGTTACAGGGAACCACTTTCAAATCTCAGCTTTAAGAGGAGAGCATTCTTCTCCAGATAAGGCAGCTTTGGGGATGTTTCTGGAAGTACTTGGCATACATATTTGGTTTGCAGCATCATTATGTGTACTTGACATAATTGAACAGTTATAATCATAGAGTATAGTTATTTTTATCAACAAAATTTCTAAATATGAGCTTTAAGGTCTTCATGAAGTTGTAGAGAGCATAGCCTAGAAAATTTGGTAGGGTCAGTTTTAGGAGTTAGCTGGCAGAATTGCTGTATGTGTTTGGGTAAATGCTCATCATCTCTAACATTCTGCTGCCTTTAAGATCAGGCTACTATAAAGGAGTCTGATAATATTTTGATTTTCCAGGAATAACACAATTAATAGATCTTATAATGCTTATTAAAATAGAGAACTTTTTACTTTGAAAAAGACAATGAACTTATGACCTTTATAGATTTGATATGTTTCAGCTAGTTGTAACCTCATTTTATACTTAAGCTGATATATCACAATAAGTGATATTCAACTAAACCTAAATAAGTTAATAAATAGAGTAATCATAATTTAAATAAATCTTTTAAAAAACTGACAGTTTTGCCTTTTGTTTTTATCTGATAAAAATTAATATAATGTCTGTTACAACTAACACACAATAATAAAAGTGCAAAAAGAACAACAAACTTTAGTGTATGTCATTCAAGATATGTTTCTTTTTTTCATTATTTATTTTTTAGAGACAGAGTCTCGCTCTGTCACCCAGGCTGGACTTCAGTGGCGTGATCTTGGCTCACATCAGCCTTTGCCTCCCAGGTTCAAGCAATTCACCTACCTCAGCCTCCTGAGTAGCTGGGACTACATGCATGCGCCACCACATCCGGCTATTTTTTTTAGTTTTAGTAGAGACGGGGTTTCACCATGTTGGCCAGGGTGGTCTCAAACTCTTGACCTCAAGTGATCCGCCCTCCTCGGCCTCTCAAAATGGTGGGATTACAGGCATGAGCCACTGTGCCTGGCCCAAGAAATGTTTCTTTTAATACAAACTATTTTATATTAGAATATGAATGGAGTACCTAACAAATGTGAGTGTGTTTGTATTATCACTTTTTAAAATAAAGTATTCATATGAGCAGAAAAGGCTTACATGAGTAATAAGATTTTATATTGTAACTGGCTTTTCAAAAATAAGTGGAATTAAATAGAATTTGTCTATTAAAGTCAGAAGAGGTGAGCCTGACAGAGGGTATGGGGGCTGGGGATAGCTTGCTTGTTTTAAGTTTGCTGACAGGATTTTTGAGTACATCTAGTACTGATTCTTATTTTAGTTAATAGCCAAAAATTATCTTAATATTATAAATTTAAAAATCTCTTTGATTTGGAAACAAAATATTAATTCTGAGTTAGTGAAAGATCTCTTTGTGCTAGGTTTATATTTTTATTATTACTTATCAATTGACATTAATGACAAATATATTTAGAATAACTAGTGAAATTATTTTCCATCATATTTATTTTTTCATAAATTAGAGAACACACAATAAAGCATTTCGGCTAGTGGAATAAAAAATAATCACATAATTTTGAATTTATTCCCTGGAATATTTCAGTTATAGTCATGTACAGGACCTTTACTGTAGAAAATGCACATATATAATAATTTTAGTGACAATTACATGGCCTTATTTACTTACCAAAGGAGGATATTTTTAGTATTGGAAAACTTGTTGCTGAGACAGATTAGTGAGACTACAGGGACATTTCTTATTTTTGTAGAGATAGATTAACTTATTTAAAAAGCTGGTAAATTTCAGATAAGTGTCCCAAGTAAAACATTTGAAAATTAAGTTTGTTTTAATAAAAGCCTCCAAATAATTTAGAAACTGAGAGCCGTATTTCACTTTATTTATACATATGACCATATTGAAAGTTTGGTACATGAGACAAACAACCTGAATAAGTTTTAGTTATTTTTAGAATTATAATAATAAATTGATTGAATTACAGGAAATGGCTTGACTTTGTATTTTACGTTTTAATCCGCATTAGGCTTTGGGTATTAATTGAACTTTATTCATTAGAATGCATTGATTTTATTGATCTGCTTTAATTGTTTTTACTATTATTTTACCATTTGTTAATAGTGAAACTATGTGTGACTTACGAATAAGTGGTGGGAGAGTATGAAATGCATTAAACAGAAATCTGCTTCAGGATGATCTAAACAATTTAAATGAAACATACAGCTAATGATTGCTCTTTGTTTTAGTTTAAATTTTTGGACTTGACTCTAAGGCAGCATCCAGGTCATAAGACATAGCTTTGGGTTAAACCTGTGTGATGGGTTAAATGTGGCTACAAATTGTTTGACACTCTTGCCATCAACAGGCAGGGTATATTTTCTGTTTTGTTTGAAACAAAATTTTACCACAGAATAGATTTATATTTACAGAAAAGTTGCACAGACAATGCAGTGAGTTCCTATATACCTGCACCAATTTTTTATTTTTGACATCTCACATTAATGTGTTATATTTGTCATAATTAATAAAGCAATATTAATGCATTTTTAAATTGAAGTCCATACATTTTTAGATTTCTAAAGTTGTTTTACTTTTTTGGTTCCAAAATCTCACTCGGGATACCACATTATATTTAGCAGTCCTGTCTCCCTAGAATCTTCTTAGCTGTGACAGTTTCATGGACTCTCCTAGTTTTTGATGATCTTGACAGTTTGAAATGTACTGACCAGTTATTTGATAGAGTATTTCTCAATTAAGATTTATTTGATGTTTGTCTCATGACTAGATTTATAGGATGTGGAGAAGTCTGCGAAGTTAAAATATAATTTTCATTATATCCTATCAAGGGTACATATTATCAATTCTTGATTATTTGGCTGGGGTGTTTTCCATCAATTTCCCTGCAGATTAATTACCCAAATTTCCAATTTTTTAATTGTACTTCTTAGAAGACCATCACTAAGAAAAGGATATGTTTAAAGAGTGAGGAATTACAATCTATCTCTTTGAGGTGGAGTTTCTATATATAGTATTTGGAATTGTTCTGCATGGAAAAATTGCCTATTGTCCTGTATTTATTTATATATTGTATCCAGTTATTTATATCATAGACTCATCTCTTCTATGTATATAAATATATATATGTATATATAAATCAATGAGATGAGCCTATAATGACATATATATATATATATACACACACACACACACACACACATAGTATATTTTGGAGTTTAATCTCAAAGTAATTTAGTTTGTTGCTCAAATTGTTCTAGTCTTGGCAGTTGGTATCTCTTTCATTTGGCTCCTGTGTCTCTGTTTATGACATAATCCATCCCCACAGTGTTTCCTTGAGTATTATCTTTCTTTCTGAGACTGCAAGGTGTGCCCAGATCACCTTATATATTTCATGTCTCAGTCCTAGTATCAGACATTTCTCCAATGACCTTGATTTTCTTTATTGAGGAGTGGTATTAGAAACCATCTGCTAAGTGTGAGGTGTGCTTGTTGCCCTTGGGGTGTCAATGCTTTTATACCCATCAGCTGACAGAACAATGTATGTATACTATTCCATCTCCACATATCTATAAATATATTACATGTTGCCATCAGCATCTATATTAAGCTAAACATGAGTTCATACTGATGTCTCCACCTCTAATCCATTACTACATAGATCATTTTAACCTCCTCCATTTGCTGATCTATAACACACACCACTTCGACAGTGAGAATCCTGATTGCACTATCCACCACTTATTATTTCGTTGTTCAATTTCAGTATGCATGTGTAGTGATTCCAGAGTTATTAACATCATATCTTTGTAGGGGACAACTTTATCAACTATTTTATAATTATTATATGCAATTCTTTTTGCCTTTGGTTTTACAAACCCCATTCACTTCCAAACTACCAGGTTAGTACATTTTCCCCAACTCCTTTCAGTAACAACATTAAATAATTATAACACTAAATGCAATTGAAAATGCAGAGAAAACATATCACTTATACATTGCTGGTGGGAATGTAAAATGGTACCACAACTCAGGAAAATGATTTGCTCATTTATATTAATATTAAACATATGACAACTATAAGACAAAGCAATTGTACACTTAGGTATTTATCTCTGAAATATAAAAAATATATATTCACACAAAACCTGTTTATGCATGCTAATAGGAAAAATTTTATTTTAAAATACGATTTTTTTAAATAGAAGTCTTCCAGAAAATATATCAAATGTAAGATTTCTAAACTTTACATAAACTACAGAAATAGTCAAATTTGATTAATTAAAAAGTAAGCCACATATTACTTATAAAACATTCACCCACTTACAATATTAAGATACAGAAATATTAAAAGGAAAGGTATAGAAAAAGATTTACCATACAAACATTACCCCCCAAAAGCAGGGATGGCTAACTTAATATCAGACAAGTATTAATGCCAAACAAATGGCAGAGATATATCATAATGGTTAAAATATTAATTCTATGATACGATATAACAATTCTAAATTTTTCTATACCTGATAGAATTATTTTCCAAAAATATGAAGATTTGACAGAACTAAATGCTGAGGTAGAAAAATCCACAATTAAGATTTTAATAAGCCTTCTCAGTAACTGATAAGCAAACAGAGAAATCATTAAAAATATAGAAATTAACAGTTCAATGTTGGTGTATTTGAAACACATTAGAACATCATATCCAATTTATACAAATTATAGTCTTTCCAAGTACATGTTGAAATTAACATGCTCCACTGTAAAGCATATAGCAACAAACATCAAAGATCTGAAATAATTTGAATGTATATTCTTTGAACATGTGGATTCACTAAAATGTAATATTATAAACCTAACTGGAAAGTCTCCAAATGCTTAGAAATTGAGGTACTCGTATATGTAACTCATGGACAAGGAGGAAATCACAATATGAGTCAGAAAATGGTTTCAATGGAATTATTATGAGTAACAAAACAATAAATATTGTGGGTTGTAGATACTGCAGTGACTAGATGATGTTTCTTGATAGCAAAAAATGGAAATTAATTTCAGTGTTATTTATTCATAAGATGAATAAATTGAGATACATTCAAATAATAGATATGACAGCAATGAAAATGAATGAAAAACATGTTTACATGATATCACAGATGAATACCATAAACATGGGATTGAGGGAAAAAGCCAGACACTCCAGAATTCTAGTGGTATTTTATTCTACGTATATTAAGTGTAAAAAGGAAAAACTAGATTTTGATGGTAGAGATTAGCAGTCTTCCTTACAGGTGTACTGTCTAGGGGGAGCAAAAGGAGCATTTAAAAATGCTGGAAATGCTCTATGTTTTGATGTGGTGGTGTGACATGGTAAAAATATGTGAAAATTCATACATATGTGAAAATTCAACAAGCCTTATGTTTAAGATTTATGTAGTTTACGCTGTGTAAATTCTACCTCGAGAAAAAATAAGGCATGCTACTTTTTCATACAGTATTTCATCTATCCATTTGACAAAATCCAATGTTGATAAGACTCTCTGTGAGACTAAGGAAACGCTAAGTCTGATGTATTACTGTTGAGAGTCTACATTGGTGCAAACGTCCTGGAGAGAAAATTGGCAGTATATATCAAAATTACACATGTATATATATAGTTTCCCCTGCAATTTTATGTCTGGAAATTTATCTTCTGGATGTTTTCACACATGTGAAATGACATATGTACTATTTTATTAATTTTAGCTTTGTTTGAAACAGAAAAATAATATCGGCAACTCAAATTACCAGCAATGGATAACTGGTTAAATAAATCATAGTATATCAACAAATATAATAAAATGTATGGCAAAATGAAAAGAATGAGGAAACACTATGAAAGATACTGAATTTTCTCCAAGAAATAGTGTTAGTCAAGAAACTGTGGGAAACAGAGTATCTCATTTTCTGTTTTTTATATAAAAAAAGACTAGAGACAAAAATTTATTTCTAGATTTACTTCTACAAATATTAATTAATACTGGAAGGATATACAAGAATTTGTTATTAATGAAGGGTGGTTTTTAAATTTATGGAATATTTTTAGGCATGTGAATAAATTCCATATTCAGATGTATTTTATACAAAAACATAGGAAACTATCCAGGACACAGTCACTACTTTCAAACACAGCAAAAATATGTTAAAAGGCCTGGCTCTAGTATACAGTAGAAATAATGTGGCGAGGGGTTGACATCTCCACTTAACATAAACAGATGATAACATTTTCTCCTTTTGAATCTCCAAGCACAGATTCAGAATTCCTTTCATCATGGAAACATCGATTTACACTAAACAATATAGGAATGAAAATATTGTACATTACTGATACAGTTAAAAGAGATGTCTGCAGACTAGCTGTGGTACGTATTTGTTTGCTCTCTTTTCTAGTATTCTTAATGTTAGATTTTGTAAGTTATCCTCCTTCTCCTTCCAGACAGCTGATCACAGTTTGTTCCTTGCCATAGCAGGTAGTAGAAGCAGAAGTCAACCCTTTAACGTTTGGGCCTCCGGTTTATGGTGACAGAGGAAAAAGAGATGTCAGTTTTGTTTTTTGTTTTTTTTTAACTGAATGTTGCCACCTACTGATCAAGACTTACTTTTGTAAGGCCTGCTTCTACATAATTTAGCATAGTGAAGAATAGTCATGCAAAAAGCCATATAAAGATTAAGATATATAATTAGTTCTGTAATTATTATTTTTAGTAATAATAATTAGAATGTACTTCAATAAAAATAATTAAAATTATTTTTATTTTATTAATTTATACCTCAATAAAAATAATTTTAATTATTTTTATTGAGGTATAAATTGCAAACAATACATAAACCCTGAGTGCACAGACATTACATAACCACCACCTGAAAATCAACATATAGAAAATTTTAATAATCTCAAAAAGGTTTTCAAGTCTCTTTCAAGTCAAGCTCTATTCTGAGTAACTACACTCTGATTTTTATTACATCACTTAATTTGTCGCCCAATTTTCTTGAGATAAGGCTGATTCTTTTAGGGTTGTATCTGCAATCATAGCAGAGAGGCAGACAGAGATAATAAAAAATAAAGAGTTTCATTATAAATATGTTTAAAAATAAAAAAAGTTCCCATCTTTACAAGAAAAATGTGCACAAGCAGCAAATTAATGACTTACGTGAAATCATCAGAGAACTGAGTTCACAGGACAGATAGTCATTTTAAAACCTGGAGAGAGGCCAACATAGAACCTGAGCATTTGTTTTCCTGGGTAAATGACAGTCAGACTATATATGAGCCAGACAAGACATTAAACTAGAAATTGTGAGGAACTGCTGAAGGATGGGTGTAGGCTAGAGTGAGGGTGGGGAGCTCCTGGGAGATGCAGTCCTAGGGAGATGGTTACCTTTTCGCAAACTATTCCTCTAGAACCCCACATAAAAGATAGGAGAAAATTCAGAAAAGGGATTCCCATGGTGCTAGCAAAAGGGTAGGAAAGGCAGCCACTGCCAAAACCTATTCCATATTCCTAAATGTGCAGGTTGGGAACTCTGCCCTGATTTATCTGCCTAGTTTCTCCTAAGAAGAAAAATAGCTTAAATTGCAGGGTGGGGGTCCTTAGGGACATACACAGAAAACAATGGTGGATTATCTCCTGCAGCTAAGGAACAAGAATATTTGCAGGGTTCATGGTGAGGGTACTCTAATATTTCAGTCGGGGTAATCATAACTGAGCATCATCACAAAGGGGAGACTCAAAGCATAGATGTAAGACACAAACAAGAAAGGTAGAGGAATTTGAAGGTTTGGATGGCCCCTGGCAAGAAACTTTAATACTGTCCGACACAGTGGCTCATGCCTGTAATCCCAGCAATTTGGGAGGCTGAGTCTGGCCGATTGCTTGAGCCCAGGAATTCAAGACGAGCCTTGGTAACATGGAGAAACCCCTTCTCTATAAAAAATACCAAAATTAGCCTGGCATGGTGGCATGCGCCTGTAGTCCTAGCTACTCAGGAGGCTGAGGTGGGAGGATCTCCTGAGCCAGTGAGATGGAGGCTGCAGAGAGCCAAGATCACACCACTGCACTCCAGCCTGGACAACAGGAATGAGGCTCTGCTTCCAAAAAGAAAAAGAAACTTTAATACTGGTAACCATTAGTAATATTGAAAGTCAAACACAGCTTAACTCCTGGCTAGATTAACATGAATTTTCAGAGTAAAGGTCTATTTACCTCAAAATCTACTAGCCTGTGAAGTATGTCTGGCTTTCAGCAACAGCAGCAACAAAAATGGAAAGCACAAGGAAAGACAGGGGAGAAGGAATCCTTAGAGATTCTGAAGAGAAAAGGAATCATTAGAACCAAGCTCTGATAGGCTACAGATGTTGAAATCATCAGACAGGGGAATTTTAAAAAGCTGAGTAGTGTGTTAAAGGTTTTAATGTAAAAGGTAGACAATATGTGAGACCAGATGGATAATGTCAGTAGAGATATGGAAATTATATGAGAAAATTAAAGAGTCGCTAAAAAAAAAAATACCAGAAATGAAGAACGCGTTTGATGAGTTTATCACCAGATTCCACACGGCCAAGAAATAAACTCAGTGAACTTATATATGTCAATAGAAATTAACCAAACTAAAATACAAAGAGAAAAATAAATTTTAAAAATCCAGAGGATTCAAAAACTGAGGGAAAAGACCAAATAATGTGAAATACATGTAATAGAAATGTCAAAAGATTAGAATGAGTATAGGCAGAAGAAATATTTGAAGAAATAATGTCCTAAATATTTTCAGAATTAGCAACAGAAAATAAGCCACAGACCTAAGAAAAGTCAAGAAACATCAATCAAGACAAATACCAAAAAATAAAAATAAAAAATACGCACCAAATAAACAACAATAACAACAACACACCCAAGAATATAATATTGAAACTGCGGAAAAGCAAATACGAAGAGAGAATCTTGAAGGTAGACAGAGAAATCAAGTACATTACTTAACACAGAAACAGCAATAGTAATTACAACAGGTTTTACATCAGAAATCACACAACTAAGATGACACAAGATTGAAATGTTTTAAGTGTTGAAAGGGAAGTTTGTTAACCCCAAATTCTACATTCTTCAAAAGTGAAGAACAGACTCTCCTACAAAAGATCTGACATACAGCCAACATGTACAAAAAAGTCAAATTCCACATATCAGCGAGATCATATGGTGTATGCTTTCTGTGCCTGGTTTATTTGACTTAACATAATGTTCTTCAGGTTCCTCCACATTGTGGCAAATGACAGAACTTCATTCCGTTTTATGACTCAACAGTATTTCATTTTACATGTATGTTTGTGTATACACACACACACACACACAACGTTCTCTTTATACATCCATAGATGTGTAGTTAGGCTGATTCTTTATCTTGGCTATGGTGAATAGCACTGCAATGGGAGTGCAGATGTCTCTTCAACATATTAATTTTCTTTCCACTGGATGTATACCGAGTAATGAGATTGTTGGATCATATGGTAATTCTGTTTTTTAATTTTTTGAGGAAGATCCATCCTGTTTTCCATAATGGTTTTATTAATTTACGTTCCCACCAACAGTGAGGTCTCTTCTCCACATCCTCACCAGCATACATTATTATTTGTCATTTTGATAATAGTTATTTTAACTGGGGTGAGGTGATATCTCATTTTAATTTTGATTCAAATTTTTCTGATTATTGGTAATATTGAGTATTTTGTCATATATCTGTTGGCCATTTACATGTGTTTATTGGATAAATGTCTTTTTAGGTCTTTTGCCCATTTTTAAATCAGATAATTTGTTTTCATATGTGGAATCTAAAAAACTTGGTTTCACAGTTGTAGAGAGTTGAATAGTGGTTACTCGAGGCTTGAAGAGTCAGGGGAGCTGGGAGCTGGGAGAGATTGATCAACAGGTACAAAGTTATATTTAGACAGCAAGGATAAGTTCTTCTGCACGATTACACAGTAGAGTGGCTATAGCAAATGATGTAGTGTATATTTCAAGATAGCTAGTAGGAAAAATTTTGAGTGTGTTCACCACAAAAAGTGGTAAATATTTAAAATGATAAATATGGTAATTACCCCAATTTGATCATTATACAATGTATACATGCATTGAGACATCACACCATGCTACATAAATATTACAATCATTATGTATCAGTTAAAAAAAATTAAGTAATAAAAAATTTAAATGAAGTATTCAAGAAGAAGAAAAATGACATAAAGAAACTTATAAACAAAGAATGGAAAGGCATCAGAAAATAAATCAAGGAAGGTAAAATATAATCTTTAATATTTTAATACATAATTGATTTAAGGGATAATATACAGTTAAAGCAATGAATTGGGTGCTTATAGTATATATAAAAGTGAAATTAATGGTAGCAATTTCACAAAGAGGAAAAAAATTGGAACAATTCCATTATATTTGTGCTAAACATAACGTGACCTGATACTATTTGAAGGAAGAAATACAATATTTAAAAATATAGTAGACCCCACAACAGCCATTAAAAATGCATTAATAGGTGAAATAAAGAGCAATCATAAAAATGTTCAATTAAAACAAGAGAAGGCTGAAAAAGAGGAAAAGAAGATAAAAAATACACCATATAGAAAACAGCAATCAGATGGCATATTTTAATACAATCATATCAATAATCACTTAAAACTTGAATAATATAAACACTCAAAAAACAGAGATTGTCATTTGGGTTTAAAGGAAAACAAGTATGTGCTATATAGAAGAAACATACTATAAATACGAGGATTCAGAAAGGTTAAAAGTAAAGAGATGGAGAAACATATTATGCTAACACTAATAAAGAGAAAACTGAAGTACTCATATTAATTTGAATAAGGAATAATGTCAGGGATAACAAGGGCAAGGGATATTACATGAAGCGGTCAATATTCAGAGCAGTGATAGCAATGCTAGATGTACAATATAACTAACAACCGAGATTAAAAATACACCATGTAAAAACTTATAGAACTGAAAGGAGAAATAGGTTCACATTATAGTTGGAAACTTTAAAATTTTAATTGCAGACTTTAAGACACCTCTTTTAGTAATTGAAAGGTCAGGTAGAAATTAAGTTAGGATATATAAGCTGAAAACCACAATCAATGAATTTGATCTAGTTGACATTTATACACTATTCCACCTGACAACAGTAGAATACAAATTTCTCTGCTGCACATGGGACATTCACCAAGACACATCATATTATGGGCCATAAAACAAACCTTGATAAATTTCAATCATAGAAAACATAAAATTTATTGTCAAGCAATTATATAATTAAACTGGAAATAAATAACAAAAAAATTGTTGAAGATGTACCACACATATTGAAATTAAACAATTTATATCTAAATTACCTATGGATAAAAAAAATCTCCAGGGAAATATAAAAATATTTTGAGTTAATGAAAATGAAAATACAAATTATCAAATCTTGTCAGATGTAGCTAAATCAGTTCTGAGAGAGATGCAGTATTAAATGTATGTTTTGGAAAAAAAGAAAAATCTAAAATCAATAACTTAAGCCTCTAACTTAGGAAAGTAGAGAAAGAACAAATTAAACCTAAAGCAAACAAAAGGTAGCAAATAATAAAAATTAAAGCATAAATTAATAAAATTGAAAACAATAAAACAGAGAGGATCAACAAAACCAAAATCTAATTATTTTTGAAACTCTCAAAGATGTTAGCGGGGATAACTGAGGTGAAAAATAAAAAACATAAAATACCAATATCAGAAATGAGAGAGGGTTCACCACTACTGATCTCATACCCATTAAAGATAATAAAGGTATGCTATGAACAACTATCTCTGCATAAATTTGGTAATTTAAATGAAATTGAACAATTCCACAGAAGACCCGACTATCAAAATTCACTTTGGTGCTCACACCACAAAGTTGTTCCCAGTGAGCCGTGCCCTAAAATATTTTAGCGTGGATGAGCCCATGAGTTTTTATCTAGGTTATAGAATGTGGCAAAAGTGAGGGGATTTTGACGTTTCAGTGACAGTCCCAAATCAGTTGATTTTGAGTTAATCATAAAGGAGACTACTGTGGGTGGGCCTGACTCAATCAAGTGAAAATCTTAAAGAGAGGCTGAGTTCCTTCCTAAGAACAGAGCCTCTCTCCTGTTGTCCTTGAAGAAGCAAGCCACTTGAATTCTACATCGGTAAGAAAATAAATACAACCAGCAATCTGAGTTTACATAGTACAAAGAAAATTCAGTAAATAGTCTAATCAACAAATGCTGCAGGAACAATTGGATGCCTATATTTAAATATATGTATGTGTATATATATGTGTGCGTGCGTGTGTGTGTATATATATATCCTTCAAACCACTTAAAAAATTGAATAAAAATTATCACAAACTTAAATGTAAAACATAAAAATATAAAATATTAAAAAGAAAGCAGAGCATCTGTGTGATCTTAGCTCCATAGTCAGTTTTTGGACATGACATTAAAATATAATACATTAAAAATACTACATTGAACTTTATCACTATTAAAAAACGGTTTTATAAGAGACATGTTTAAGAGAACGGAAAAAAAAGCCAATGATCCAGAGAAAATATTTGTGAATACATATATCTGATAAAGGACTTTTATTCTGAACATATAAAGAAGTCTTTAAATTCAAAAACAAGAAAACATTAATCTAATGAAAATTATACAAAATAACTAGACAATTCACTAAAGAAGACATACAGTAGGCAAATAAACACATGCAAAGACATTAAAGAGTAATTGATCATTAGATAAAGACATTTGTCTTTAAGGCTATAATGTGATACTAGCAAAAACTGCTTAGAATTTTCTTTTTTAAAAAAGGAAACAAAGGAAAGAAAAGCTATGTTAAGTATTGGTGATTGTGTGGAGAAACAGAAGCTCTCATTCATTGCTGTTCAAAATGCAAAACAGCACACTCAGAAATAAAAATGGACAGTTTTGTATAAAGTTAAAAATGTATCATGCTGGAGTCTATAAGACGACTCTAAGTTTTGGTGATTCACCACCAGAAAAACTCACAGAACTCAAAAGTTGTTATACTCGTATTTTCAATTTATTGCAGAAAAGGATACAAAGCAAAACAGAAAATGGAAAAGTTGCATGGGATGAAATCCAATGGAAACTAGTTGCAAGTGAAGTCAAATAGGATACAGGTAATGCCTCCAACAACATGCAAAGTATTATTTATCATATCAAGGAAGTTTTCCTGAGCCTAGCAGTCCAGGGTTTTTACTGGGGTTCACATTTGCAGGTAGTGCTTGAGTGACAGACTGCAGTTAATGAAGCTCTAGGCCCCCAGAAGGACAGGAGGTGTTCACCATAAATCACATTGCACAAACTATTTAGAGAAATTGGTATAGCATGGTTCAAGTCCCAAATGTACTAATAACTCTTATAATTTGGAGTATTCCAAAATGTAGGTTTTAGAGGAGAACAAAAGACAGGCCCTTCTTGAGAGTTGCACAAGATTTGAGCAACTGAGGTCTACTGAGCTAACTTACTCCTGTATATATGCTTCCCACACAATTCAGCAACTTCACTGTTAGGCAATTATTAAAATGACTTTAAAAATGATGTCAACAAGGAATCCTGTATGTGAATGCTTATAACAGCTTTATTCATAATCATCAAAAACTGGAATCAAACAAGTGTCCTTATATACATGTCCTTGAATAGATAATGAAATTATAGTATATCTATAAAATAAAAACCTATCTAGTGATAAAATGGAACAAGCTATTCATTCACACAACCTTAAATATATTTTGTGAAGGCAAACAAACCAGACTCAGAATGCTACATATTGTATAATTCTATTTGTATTATATAATATAAGTCAAAACTGTATGGATGAAAAACAGATCCATGGTTGCCAGGTATTCTGAGAGTGAAAAGTGGAGGACCAAGAATCCTCACAGGGTTTTATTACAGTGATGGAAGTATGGTATTTGAATGATGGATACTGACTTCTTCATGTTTTTGCCAAATCCCTTATACAGAGAACTTTTTAATATGCAAGTTAAAAAAAGCTCAACCAAGTTATTGGAGCATCCCAGAATAGAATGAAAACAATGATAAAATAACCTTATCACTGGATTTTTAAAACTGACACACAAAAATTGCACATATTTATGGGGCGCAATATTTTGATACACATATACATTGTTCAATGATCAAATCAAAATAATTGAACATAACAAATGCATGACATAATGTCACTGAAGAATATGGTGAAAAATGAAACTAACTAAAGTAACTTTAGAAAACAACAACAAAAAAGACCTACATGTAAACAGTTTATTCTGGGTGGTATTTCGTTGTTGTTGTTGTTGTTGTTGTTGTTGTTGAGACGGAGTCTTGCTCTGTCGCCCAGACTGGAGTGCAGTGGCACGGTCTCGGCTCACTGCAAGCTCCGCCGCCCGGGTTCACGCCATTCTCCTGCCTCAGCCTCCCCAGTAGCTGGGACTACAGGCGCCCGCCACCACGCCCGGCTACTTTTGTTTTGTATTTTTAGTAGAGACGGGGTTTCACCATGTTAACCAGGATGGTGTCGATCTCGTGACCTCGTGATCCGCCTGCCTCGGCCTCCCAAAGTGCTGGGATTACAGGCGTGAGCCACCGTGCCGGCCTCTGGGTGGTATGTCTTTATTCCTACATGGCGTAACTTAGCAATTCTGAAACCATTACATGTATACCCAGTTTGAAAAAATAAGCAAATAAATTTTAGATGATGAGAATCAGGTTTCTTATTGCCTTAGAAAGAAGTTACAAAAAGCTAGGCAGAAAAACTAGAATGAGTCTAGTATTACTTAATTATAATCAAAATTGTGAGTATAAAGTCTCATTCATACACCCACACACACACACACACACACACACACTCACATACATACAGATGTGTAGCGTTGAAATAATTATTGAGACAATTAACTTTGGGTACGTAGCTGATGCTAGAGTTAAGGTATCGAAAATATATGATGAGTGTGGAACACACTGTAGTGTCAGAAAGTGAGGAATTTGTCCTTCAAACAAATTTGAAAAAGGGTAGATTTAAAAGATACAAGACCCAATATGAATCTGAGAGTGCTCACATGGCCAAAGTACAAACAAATACCTTAACAACATAAGTAATAATATTATTGAGTTATAACCAAAGAATGAGTATCTATAAGTCCATAGTATAAAATGAAATTATTGAACAAATAAATAAAATGAGGTAAATGTATTATTTCCTAAAGGAAGGAGACCAAGTCTCCCTCTGTTGGCTCTTTCTCTGGAATAGACTCAGAAAATGAAGTATCAGCTATAAACCTATTCCATAAGTATTCTAGTCCTATTTGTTGATATGGTTTAGAAGAATGTATAATGCTTAATTGTTTTCTTAACTATTTGTAAAACATTTAATTAACACACTGAATCATTTATAAGGACGTACTCATGCAAATGCATATTTAAATTTAGTCCTTTGTTGGGGACCCTAATGTTTGGGTCATGGGGGGATATCTCTCATGAATAGATTAATGCCCCCCAAGGGGAGGAGATGAGTGAGTTCCTGTTCTATTAGTTCCACAGAGCTAACTGTGTTGTTAAAAAGAGTCTGATACTTCCCTTCTCTCTCTCTCGCTTCTTTTCTTGCCATGTGGTCTCTGCTCATGGCGACTCCCCTTTGCCTTCTGCCATGAGTGGAAGCAGCCTGAGGCCCTCCAAAAGCAGATGCCAGAGCCATGCTTCTTGTATAGCCTGCTGAACTGTGAGCCAAATAAACTTCTTTATAAATTAAAAAAGAAATGTAGTCCCTTGTTTAGTATTTGTGGTAAAAATAGATAATATATATCTATATGCATCAATATAATTATGTGTATGTACATATGTGTGGTACATATGTGTGTGTATAATTTTTTTAAGAAAGAGAAGCATCAAATTAAAATTGAGATTGCAGGAAATATACCTTTACTTACTGCTCATATAAAAATCATAAACAGCTGTAATATAAAAATATCTTAGAGCTTCCTTAGGCATAATTTTCTTAGGTATCAGTGTCACCCTTGAGGATTGTTGAGGAGGACTAAATTTTCCATCTTTGAAACAGGGATTTGTTAGAGAACATGGGTATGAAAAATGCAGAAAGAAATGTGTTGCATTTGTAAGCTAGTGTTTTCCTGCCATGTTTAAACTTATACACAAATGAACTTGCTTCATTATGAATAGTCTCAGATTGAAATATGATTTCACATTTGCCATAAAATTTAGGCTTATTTCCATACTTCTATTAGACCTATGCCTTCTTATGTGATAAAATTTTAGTGTTGACTATATTATTTCTCCTATTTCAGCATTTTATTCATTCTTCTGTGCAAAAACTCCTGGAACACAAATAAGGTCGTAGATTATAAGGTTACAATTGTGTAAAATTCAGATTATAATAAACTGATGTTTAATATTAGTCCTACAATTTTTATCATGCGTATTATACCTTACTAGTAAAATTCCACACATATAAATCATTTTTCTTGAAGTTGGTTGAACAATAATGTTCAATACAATGTAACATGGTAGGCATAAATATTTAAAGACTAGGAATAGAAAGGGTAGAATACTGACTAAATGGAAATAACGATGTTTTAGGGGAACACAATTCAACCCACAACACTCAAATATCGGCCTGACTTCCCCTTTTATATCCTTCAGTCTCCACTCAAATTTTACATTATCATAGTGGTCATTCCTAATGATCCCTCATAAGATAATAATCCTCTACATACTATGCCTTTGATCCTATTTATTTTTTTTAGGGTATTAATCTTTAGCTAACAAAGTATATATTTTTGTTTCTGCTTATTAAACTACTTTTGTTTGTCCTCAGTAAATAGTTTCATAAGGATATGTTGCCAGTTTTACTGACTATTCTGTCTCTAACAACTAGAGCAGTGTATAGGAAATAGTAGGTATCCAACAAACATTTGTGGAATTGTTGCATAAATGAAACCAGATTAAGTGGAAGTCAATTGCTGATGAATTCAAATGTCTCATAGTTTTAACTTATCTTTATAATAAAACTACACGAATTAAAGCTTTAATGTAGTAATAATAGTTTAAAATAATAAACAGGGCACTATTTTAATAATTTAACTACTTTGTTGAATAATATTAAAAACATTTCAGTATGTTTCTTTGACTAGGAGGAAAGTTTAGACATTGTTTTTCTAAAGTTCTTTTGTAGGAGAACTAGCTTAGCGTTCCAGCTGTTATTTTTATGAATTTATCTTATTTCATAGCCACATTTTAAATCCTGTCTTAACTTTAATTTGTTCTTTTGAATAATATATATATATTTTATTTTTGACATATTGGCTTCTTCTCTTTGGGCCACTGGGAGCATTTCTATTTTAATCATGTTTTCTTTTTTGTATGGTGCCCAGATGTGATGACAAAAACCATGCAGAACAGATACACTTGACTTAGCATGCACTGTATTTTATTTGTTATAGCCAAAGGGCTTTCTTTCTAAAAAGAATTAAAATGTTCAGTAAAAGATTTATAAATCAGCTTTTGATGTTGCTAATTCAAAATCAAGCAGGACATTTGCCATGCATTTAACTAATGTATCAGTGAGGCATAATTATAAATTGTGGATACTATGCAAAACTATTTCTTAGCATAATAGCTGAGTAAGTGTAAATTAGAGACACATGGTTTTTACGTGCTATTTATACCTTTTGTAAATATTTGCTCTTTGAAAATAAGTGGCTTTTTTGCTACTCATTTTTGTTTGCTATACATTTTTTCAGCATCTTTATATCAATATTTCCTCATAGGAGGGATTAATCAGGTTTACTGCAGATGTCCAAATTAATTGTTATTGCTCTTCCTTAATTTAATAAGAAGTCTAAAATATGCTTCATTGTTAAAGAGTGGTTTCATATTATTAGAAAATGTATACTTTTGAATACTGTGTGCAGAATTGACTTTATTAGTTGTTAATCACTATGTGTAGAATAACATTTCATGGAAAATAGGAGGTATAAAAGTTCTTATGTATATTTGTGTGGGGATATGTGCATGTGTGTGTGTGTGTGCATGTGTGTGTATAAATCAAACCAAACAGGGTATTCTATTTTGTTGCATTTCTCAGTTTTAGTGGATATAAAGTGTGCAGAATGGAATTAGTTTGTTATTACTAAAAGGGAGCTGGCATATGGCAATAGTGTTCATAACAGTGTTCATTTGTAGGATCATTTATAAGTCAATAAGGCAGCTTTGTTGACCTTGGTTGAGTTGATTACACATAGGAATTTGGTCAGCTGTCAGCTGGGATTTGGAGGTTGGCCTCTTCCAGAACTAGAAAATACAACAATGAAATAAAATGGATGAAAATCCAACCGTATGATCTGCTTTTCTTTTAAATATGTTTCAACTTTAAGTAATATCTTTGCTCCTGCACCTGAGCATAGGTTATTAGAGGCAGCCAGGCAACTTCTTGAATGCTTTGTTGCTTAAAAATTTCTTCCACCAGATACCCTAAATCATCACTGTGAAACTTAAACTTCCACATATTTCTAGGATGTGAACAGAATGAAGCCAAACTCTTTGCTAAGGTGTAACACATGTGACCTTTGCTGCAGTTCCCAAGGAGTTCCTCATTTTCAGCAGAGACCCTGACAGCCTGGACTTCACTGTCCATATCACTATAAGCATTGTGGTCACAACCATTTATCCAGTCTTGAAGAAGTTCCAAACTTTCCCTCAACTTTCTGTCTTCTTTTGAGGCCCTCTAAACACTTCCAACCTCTGCTCATTACCCAGTTCCAAAGCTGCGTCTACATTTTCAGATATGTTTGCAGCAATACCAGAAGGGAGTAGATGAAAACATTAAGTTGTACAACTTAAACATATACACTTTTGTAAATAATATAAAAACAAAGAACCTATGTGACTGCTATACAATGTGGGTATTGCCTCAAGGAAAATCGGAGGGCTACCAGAAGAATTAAGAAAATATATAAATGTTAAAAAAGCCAGCCTGGATAAATTAGGCTGCCTAAAGCAAATCGTAGCCAATCATTTAAATATTTGATAAATTAGCTAATGAAATACAACATTATTTGTATTTAATAAAGATCTTTTTTACATTTAGCCATCCATTTTAAGTAAAAAGAGCTTTTCTTACTATAAAAGCTATATCACTCAAGTATTTTTTATGTCAAAAGCTGGTGAAATTTAACACACCAGCAGACACAGCCACAAAAATGACTGTTTATTACTTATAAAAGATTTTCTCCAAAAATTATTTACATTAAAGTCGCATATTTTATATATTTTATGAACTATTATGTATAAGAGCAAGAAAAAATAAACATTAAATTAAAATAGCAATAATATTAATTTTTATTGCTATGAACATACAAATTACATCATTTCTCTTAACAGGTCAAAGACAGGTATAGTATGAAATTGGAAAAGACAAGATTTGAACTTTAGAAAATTTGAAGTTTTAAGAGGATAAGTTGTGAAAAACTAGAAGACTAAAGATATAGAAAATAAGGATTCAGATAAATGTAAGGCAAAACAGAAGAGTAAATTCTATGTAGGATTTACTGCATAAGAGTAAATTCTATGTAGAGTTCACAGAAGCCCCAGATGTTGCAGAAGATGGTTTCAAGGTTTGAGGAGTGATGCAAATGCTCTGGAAAGTTATCATAGAATGAGGCTAGTAGAAGTGTAATTGTGGTTGACAATTATGAACCACTGATGCTTTTAGTCAGAATGCGGTGTTGAGTAGACAGTAATAAACAAATAAGTTGAAAGGGGAAAATGTAGATGACTCTTTAAGAAATATGACTGGAAAGGAGGGAATTAGAGTGATGATCCCACTAAGAAGTTCTTATGAAAGGGTACTGATTATTCTGGGAACCATCTCCATACCTGACATTTTTACCTAGAATTTATCTCTTCAAATTCCCATTTAATAAGTGTGAATAATTTTTTACTTGAAAATTTCAATAACTAAACTAACTGACAAAAATTAAATGCATAATTTAAAATAAAATTTGTGAGTTAGAAATTGTGTGTAAGTCATTTAGTAAATATGTACTACACATATTACATACAAACCCTATGTAAAGTTTTACTGGTTATCAACATCTGCTGCCAATTAAAAACTGTAATAACTAAAACTACTTTTCTTACTATATTGACTACTAACTTTATAAACATTTTTATTAGGAAATACTCTATATCAACTGTTCAACAGGTAGGCAGCATATTTAAAATTGAACAAGACGGCTAGAAGTGGTGTCTCATGCCTGTGATCCCAGCGTAGGTCCTCATAAATCAACATTCGAAGTTGCAGGAAGTATTAATAGTAGGTTCTAGTATTTGATAGTACAGTAAGGAAATTATAGTTAATGATAACTTATGGAATATTTCCAAATAGTAAGAAGGGAAGGATTGTAATGTTCCCACACAAAGAAAAGAAAGCTTTGAGGTTATGAAGATCTCAATTACTCTCATTTGATCACTACACATTATATAGGTATCAAAATAACACATGTACTTGCAAAATATATTCAACTATCACATATCAATTAAAAATCCTTGGAAGGCTGAAGTGGGTGGATTGCTTGAGCTCAGGAATTCAATAGTAGCTTGGGCAGCATGGTGAAAACTTGTCTCTATAAAAAATACAAAAATTAGCCAGACGTGGTGGCAAGTCCCTGTAGTCCCAGCTATTTGGGTGGCTGAGGGCACAAGAATCTCTTGAGCCAGGGAGCCAGAGGTTGCGGAGAGCTGAGATCACCCCACTGCACTCCAGCCCGAGTGACATAGCCAGCCAGACCCTGTCTCAAAAAAAATATAAGAAAGAAAAAGAAAACAAAAAAAGAGTTTATCTTTCATCTCTAAGAAATTTTTTAAAAACACCAAAAGTTTTTTAAAAATAAAGTAGAATAAAATAAAATTGAAAATGACTTATTTAAAATTCTTGCTATTACATGATCTGTAAATACCTGCATCAATATCTGTAATTTTTTTGATATAATTGTCCTTAATCTGTTCTATGTGTATGTGCAGAGTAAACAATACTAAAATGAGATAATTTTTGTATTCTTAATGTGACTATTTATCTTAGATACACATTATTCAGAGTGCATATAAAGATTAAAATAGTAAAGAGAGCAAAGGAATTAAGTAAAAGCATTAAACATCCCTATTGAAACTATTATTATCTAATTTTTTAAAAAATATGAAAAACATTTTAATTACTTTTATAAACCTACTAAATTCTCTTATACTTACTCTTTAAGGATTTTAATTGATATGTGATAGTTGAATATATTTTGAAAGTACATGTGTTATTCTGATACCTATATAATCTGTAATGATCAAATCAGAGTAATTGAGATCTTCATCACCTCAAAGCTTTATCTTTACTTTGTGTGGGAACATTACAATTCTTCTCTTCTTACTATTTGGAAATATTCAATAAGTTATTATTAACAATAATTTCCTTACTGTACTATCAAATACTAGAACCTACCATTAATACTTTCTGCAACTTCGTATGTTGATTTATGAAGACCTACATTTGATTTAAGGAAAGTAAATTTTAAAGCATATTACTTTAGAAAATTATGAAAATTGAACTAAATAGTATCTTCGAAATGTATTTTACACATTTTATATTAAGTACAAACTGTTAGTAACTAACCATATAACAATATTCCTTATTTAAGCAAATTAGAAGTGTCAGAAAATGTTTATTAGTGAAAACTACATTTTCAACAACAGTGTGTCTGTGTGTATCCCATCTTTACTTTTTAAGTTCTGTTTTAATTGACATATAATTGTACATATTAATGGGGTACAGTGTGATATTTTCATATTTGAATACATTGTAAAATGATCAAATCAGGGTAAATAGCATATCTATGACCTCAAACACTTGTCATTTCTTTGTGGTGAGAACATTCAAAATTATTTCTTCCCCTCCCTATTTAAATATATAAGACATTACTCTTGACTGTAGTAACCCTATTGTGCAATCGAACACCAGAACTCATTCCTTCTAATTATAACTTTGTATTCATTGATCAACATTTCCCTTTATCCCTCTCCCCTACCATCTTCTGTTTCTGGTAACCACTGATTCTATTCTTTATATCTATGACTTTGACTTATTTAGATTCCACCTATGAGTCAGGTCAGGCAATATTTGTCCTTCTGTACCTGGTTTACTTCACTTAACATAATATCCTCTAAGTTCATCCGTGTTGTCACAAGTGGCAGGGTTTCATCCTCAAACTATCTGACAAGGGCTTAATATGCACAATATACAAGAAACTCCAACAACTCAGTAGCAAAAGCCAAATAGTTTGATTAAAAATGGGCAAAAGATCTGAATACATCTTTCTCAAAAGAAGATAAACAAGCAGCCAACAAGTAGTTGAAAAAGTGCTCAAATCACTAATCATCAGTGAAATGCAAATCAGACTGACAATGAGTCATCACCTCACCTGAGTTAAAATGGCTATTATAAAAAAGACAAAAAATAACAAATGCTGGTGAGGATGTCGAGAAAATAAGAACTCTCATACACTGTCAGTGGAAATGTAAATTATTACGGACATTTTGTACAACAGTATGGGGTTCTTCAAAAAATGAAAAATATAACTACTATGTGATTTAACAACTCCACTATTTGGGTATATATCCATAGGAAATAAAATCAATATATGGAAGATATATCTTTACTCCTTCTTATTGCCGCATGTTTTGTAATAGCCA
Organism: Homo sapiens; assembly: GCF_000001405.40. Classification (NCBI taxonomy): domain Eukaryota; kingdom Metazoa; phylum Chordata; class Mammalia; order Primates; family Hominidae; genus Homo; species Homo sapiens. The sequence continues at coordinate 82,340,565 of NC_000013.11, read as the reverse complement.
AGATGGTGGAAATCAACCTGTGTCCATCAGTGAATGAACAGATTAAAAATACAGTATATATACAAAATGGGATACTATTCAGCCATAAAAAAAATAAAATCCCGTACCCAATTTTTAAGCAAAATTCTCTGAGAATAGGAAAATTACACTCAAAGGACTAATGTGAGTATAATCAGTTAACTTTGGTTGGCTACTTTTTGTATTGTCTTGTATACATCTTGACATTTTCTATTTTAAAAACTTAGTTTAAGAAGAATATTAGCCTGTTTGGTACACCATAGAGACACAGTTTAAAAGTGAATTTAAATGTAAGGCCTTATTTAAAAAGTAATATTGTATTTTATTTTTGATGAATTATTCTGTTAGTAGAAAACATCTCTAAGCTACACATTAACAAATTTTTATGATGAAAAAAAATCACTTCCTTGCTTGTGAACTGCCTCATTTGTTTTTTGGAATACTATTTTTACGAAACAAATCACAATCTAGCCATTAGAAGTTCGTATTTTACAAGATGGCTGTAAGCATATCTATTGTTCCACAGGTTTTTCTGGAACCTCCCTCTTCCCTTTTTAAAAGTAGAGTTTAATCCCTCTTCTCTTTAATCTTAGCAGGTTACTACTATGCCAGAAGTGAGTTATGAGACTTCCTAGGCTTAGTCATGAAAGGGGATGGCTTCTATCTTTCTTACTGGGAAGTTTTCCTACAGGACAGAGGCTGGCAAACTTCTCTGCAAGGATAAGATAGTTAAAAAAAAAAAAAAAAAAAAAAGCTTTGCCAGACATGTGATCTCTTTTGCAACTACTCAACTCTGCTGTTGCAGAGCTAAATCTACCATAGACTAGTGGTCCCCAACCATTTTGGCACTAGGAACCGATTTTGTGGAAGACAATTTCTCCATGGATTGGGAAGGGGGGTGGCTTCAGGATGAAACTGTTCCACCTCAGATCATCAGGCATTAGAGTCTCATAGTGAACACACAACCTAGATCCCTCACATGTGCAATTCACAATAGGGTTTGCGGTCCTGTGAGAATCTAATGCTGCCACTGATCTGACAGGAGGCGAAACTCAGGTAGTAATGCTCATTCGCCCACAGCTCATTCGCCAGGTGGAGGTTGCAGTGAGCTGTGATTGTGTCACTGCACTCTAGTCTGGGTGACAGAGACAGACCATGTCTCAAAAAAAAAAAAAAAAAGAAAAAGAAAAAAAGAAAAGTGTTATATATTTAAAGTGTATTGTGTAATGATTTAATATAATATACATAATAAACAGATTACTGCATTCAAGTTAATTCACATGCAGAACTCTTCACAGAGTTACATTTTTATTTATTTTTGTTTTCAGTGAGAACACTTAAGATTTATGCTCTTAGCACATTTCAAGTATTCCATACAGTAGCACTAACTTTAGTCTCTATGCTGTGCATTAGACTTTCAGAACTATTTATTTTAAATAATTGCAACATTGTACCGTTTGACCAACATCTCCTCATTTTCCCCTTCTTCTACCCACGACCTGATAACCACCATCTTCTATGAATTTTAAAAAGTCCATTTACAAGTGAAATTATATAGTACTTTTCTGTCTGTTTCTGATTGATTTTCACTAGCATAAAGTCCTCTGATTTAATCCATGTTGTCTTAAATAGAAGGATTTTTTAAGGCTGAACAATATTCTATTTATTCACAATTCTTTATGTATTCAACAACTGATGAACAATTAGATTGTTTCCATTTCTTGGATATTGTGAATAATGCATGAAATAATGATTAAGATATACCCTAAAATTAACCAAAGATATCACTACACAACTATCACCATGGCCAAAATGAAAAGTAATGACTAAATTAAGGGAATGTTGCAGAGAAGCTAGATTATTCATACATTTCTGTTGGGATTGTAAAATAATATAGTTACTCTGGAAAATTCTTTGGAATTTTCTTATAAAACTGAACATGTAGTTATCATATGGCCCAGAAATTGTACTCGTAGATATTTCTCCTCAAAATAAAAACATATTCACAGAAAAATCAGCATATAGATTTTCATAGCAGCCTTATTCATGATGACAAAAGTCATCCAGATGTCTTTCACTGGTTTGGGGGTTAAACAAGTTGTGGCACATTCATGCTGTGAAATACTACTAGTCAGTAAAAAGGACCAATCTATTTGTACACACAACTTAGAAGACTATCAAGGGAAGTAGGCTGAGTGTAAAAAGCTAACCACAAAACGTTTCGTAGTGTATGATTCCACTTCTATGACATTCCTGGAATGATACATTTTGGAAATGGAAAAATAAATTAGTGTTTGCTGGGATTAGAGACCAGGGTGGGTGAGGAGAAAGAGTGAGGTAGGTGTGGCGAAAAAAGGGAATCACCACAATTTCTTATGATAATTAAATTGCTCTGTATATTGACTGTGGTGGTGGATGCATTAATCTACACACCTGAAAAAATTACAAAGATGTAAAACCACACATGTACAGATGAACAAGTGCATGCCAAGCAGGGGGAATTTAGGTAAAATTGCTAGATTGTATCGATGTCAATATTCTGGTTGTGATTTTGTACTACGGTTTAGCAAGATGTCGTTATTGGGGGATCTTTGTTGAAGAGTGCTTGGAATCTCTGCATTACATTGAACAGTTTTATGTGGATCTTCAATTATCTCGAAATAAAAAAGATTTAAAAATAAACAAAAGAAATTAATATCAGACAAATAAACTTAATGAAAAAAGAGCTATTGAGATATGCTTCATAGCCTCACTTTTCAGAATAGAAAAACCTTGGAAGTCATACAACATTGTATATGATATTCATTGGCTAAATGAACTGTAGTATATTCAAACAATAGAATAGTTTATAGCAGTAAAATAAAAGATGGTAGCGATATGCAACTGCATAGCTGGATTTTGAGAATGAAATATTGCGTAAAAGAAAGCAACTTCACTTTGGGAAGCCAGGGCGGGCAGATCACGAGGTCAAGAGTTTGAGACCAGCCTGGCCAATATGGTGAAACCCTGTCTCTACTAAAATAATAATAATAATAATAAAACAAAAATTAGCCAGCATGGTGGCACACGCCTGTAGTCCCAGCTACTCGAGATGCTGAGTCAGGAGGGTTGCTTGAACCTGGGAGGCGGAGGTTGCAGCAAGCTGAGATCGCGCCACTGCACTCCAGCCTGGGCGACAGAGGGAGACTCCGTCTCAAAAAAAAATAAAAATAAAGAAATCAACTTATGGATGATTATATATTGTATCATATTGCATGTCTGTAGTTCAAAGTATATTTACCTAAGGTATTATATATGCATGCATACATATGTGATAAGACTGTTGAGAAGTGTAAAAAGGACGTGATAAATATTAAATACAAGATAGTACTTGCCACCAAGAAGGATGCATTAGGCAGTCCAGGGGAGTGGTGCACAGGTACCTTTAAGTTACTAGTTCCTGTATTAGAGAGTAGATTAGCAGATGTTCATCACTTTGAAAAAGAAATGTAAGAATGAATTACAATAATAAATAATCAAAATAGAAGACTCATGTACACACACATTTACGCACTGATAATAACAAAGATTAAGATTAATCAATATTTTTTGCTTTTGGTCCTAAATTTCAATAACGTTTACTACGGATACAATTAAATAAATAGGTATTTAAATAAACACATTTAGGAGTCAAACAGTCTCGCAATTAGCCATTATTTTATTCGCATTTTAAACATTGCATTTCCTTCTTGGCCTTTGAATATTGATTATTCTTAAGACTAAATCCTTAACCAAGAAAACAAATATTGAACCACTAAAACAAGATTGTTTTCATTAAGGTACAATCTTGATCTGTCACCAGGCTGGGCTGCAGTGCAGTGGCACAATTTCTGCTCACTGCAACCTCCAACTCCTTGATTCAAGCAATTCTGCTGCCTCAGCCTCCCGAGTAGCTGGGATTACAGGCGCAGGCCAACATGCCCAGCTAATTTTTGGTATTTTTTAGTAGAGACGGGGTTTCACTATGTTGGCCAAGATGGTCCCAATATCCTGACCTTGTGATCCGCCCACTTCGGCCTCCCAAAGTTCCTGGATTACAGGTGTGAGCCACTGCACCTGGCCTTCTGGTGTTCTTAGACTTTTTTTCTAAGTAACTCAATGGAAACACACATCCACACAAATACCATTTATATGCATAGAAATAAATAATGAATGTTAAGCACGTACCTCAAAATATATGCATTGAACTTTTAGAAATATATATTCCTAATGCTTACTTCAGTGAACATTTTATTGAGAATTCTAAACTTTCCAATCTTATTTTGTGTCTTACAACTGTAGCTGATAAAAATGAATATACTTACTGTTTTAGAAATCATCTGCAAATGAGAATAAGGTCATAAAGAGTGTAAACTTTATAGTTTTTACATGATAAATTATTTCTGTGTTTTTCCTCATTAAATATATTATTATCCATGAATATTTAATTTATTTCAATAAATTCCACATACTAGGAGTGAAAATTTTTTTATTTGTTCTTAGTTTAATCCTTAACAGAAAAAAATACTCAAATAGGATTTGATCAATTGATAAATATTTCAAATATGAACATTTGCTAATAAAGTGTAATGTTTCAACAAAGCCCTTAGGCTTTGGTAGTTAAAATATACTTAACTGGCATATATTTCTTCTCCAATATGAATTACGTACTTACAGGAAAATACATATAATAGTATCAAATTATCCACTCCTATAGCTACTATTTAAAATAAAGCTTTAACATTTTCCTTTCAAGTAAACAGTAATTTATAATGAAGATTTTAATAAGTTAGATTCTGAGACTTTTTGTTACAAAAATCTTGTGGGCTCAGGACCTCTGATGTTTACGATATAAATACATGATACTCTGATATAAATACATGACAACTGTATTTCTAATACAGAGACTTCCTACAGACATCAAGGATTGAAAAATCTACCAAAACAAGATAAAACGCAGATTTGTTCAAATGAAGAATACATCTTACAAAATTAAAATGAAAATCTTTATGTGAAAATAGATAGAACACATGTAATATGATAAGCTGATATTTAGGAAAAGACATACAATGGAAAAAGATGTCATATACAAAATAGAAAAAGTAACTTCTACAAATCCATACAAAATCAATTAAAATTCATTATGACATGGGACAAAAGATGTGAATAGGAAATTTACAGAGCAGAAAAAGTAGAAAACACTGAGCAAATATTTTAAGTTACTACAGATAAAGGAATAAGAAAACCTGCAATGAGATATATTTTCACATTCTCTAGAAGAGTAAGATTTAATAAAGGAAGAAGCAAGACAGAAAAAGAAAAAAGAAGGGAGGGACTTAGAAAAGAAGGAAGGAAGGAAAGAAGGAAGAAAGGATACTACCAGACCTGGTGAGGGTGTGAAAAGTTGAAACTTGATGGTGTAAATTGGGCTATAAATTGATACATCTTACAGGAGAGCAATTTGGCAACACTTAGGAAAGATGAAGATGGACATACCTTTTTTCCCGAGAATTCCACTCCAGAATAGATATCTCAGAAAAACATCTTGTGTCATTTTGTACATCTCACATACATGTACAAGGAGATGATAGATAAGAATGTGGATTGCACCACTGGTTTTAGTAGCAAAACATAATAACACAACATACAGTTAAAGTGAAAAAAAAACCTGCTGTTGCATGTATGAACTTGGATAAATCTCACAAATAACTTAAGTCAAAAACCATAAATTGCAGATGATTATATAGATAGAGTAGTGAAATAAAATGTTTACGTACTTTGAAATATGCAAAACTAAATGTGTGTGTGTGCTTGCATATTTGTTTTACATATATGTATACACACATATTAATACACACAAATCCACTTACACATATATATTTGATTACTGTAACTCTTTAGAACTCAATATGATTGCACTTTAGGTGCTAAAAAGTATAATTTTTATGAATTTATACTATAAAAATAATTATACCCCATAGGTATAAATTAAAACACTACAAATTTATATGGAGTTCTAAAAATTTCCTCCAGTACTTCATGTGAAATTTAGCAGAAAATAAGATTGTAGTTTGATCTTTTATACTTTGGTTCAATAATTTTGAAAGCAAGGAAATGTTATGAGGAGGTACAATGATAATATTTTTAAGAAATAAATAAATGGACCTAACGCTAAATCCCAGGGAGAACTTTAAAGGTAGTAAACGTTCACATGTTTTCACACCTGAATGTAATTTGAAAGATAGCTAACACTAAATTAGTCATTTAGCACAATTACTGGAAAGTCATTAAGGAACATTATGGGGGGTTTTAGATTTGTACAATTAAATCCTGTTAAGCTTCCTTATATTTGCCACTTGCTAAATCATTTACAGTGTCCTATTAATTATTACCTATTTTAATGGTATGTCTGAAATACACTTACTTATTAGAGAAGGGATGTTCCCTGGGTAAGAACATAGATTTAACTAAAGCTCAACATTTAGATATGCTCTAGAGTCTTTCTTAAACATATAACAACCCACAAGATAACTTAAGATTTTAAATCTAATTTAATATGTTAGTAATATAAAAGGTTATATGTAGATATCTACTATATATTTTATGCACATAAGTATAATTTGAATCAAAAAACTAAATCTTATCAGTCAAGTAAAAAATAGTGGCTTTGAACTTTGTTTCCTTACATCTGATTTTAACATCTGAGGGGCTGAAAGCAATTCTTAGGAATAATGCTGTTCCCAATTATCAAACAAGATAAATATAGAAAAAGTTTGACTGTCAGTGTGTTGTTTTGAATAGGGAAACAGTGTAACAGATTTTGGCTATGTTCCCGATTTAACATATAGAAAATATTTTAATACATATGGCCATAATGCTGTCATTCACAATGTAGAATATTAAAATAGGTACTGTCATTGTGGTACTGATAATTATAAGATAAATGATAACATGTAGACACTTTAAACTTGATTTTGGTTCATCTACCCACCTTAAATCACAAGCAACATTTATAGACAGACTTGAAAACATTCTCAGGAAGCACATGCCATTAACTATAAGAACTCTACTGTAATAGTTTGAACCCCTCCCCAAAATACGAATTCACAAAAGTCATTTATGTTACATACTCACTACTTTTCCTTGTCTCTATAGATGCAGAATAACTAAATAAACTTACATAAAAGACTTTTGAGTAATACCTTCTTTGAGAGTGCTTATGTTTTATTTAAAAATATATAAAGGCAAATGCAGATAAATTTGGGAGAAAGGGGGCCACTTTTGCCAAGAGTGGATCAAGAAATCCTCCCAGAAGAGTATTGTCATATATAAAGGAGCAAGGTACATGGAATTCTTTTGAGAAGATAATTCTAGGTTTATAAAACAAAAATTCAAGGGTCCTAAGGCAACATTAATTGTGAAAATTCAAGGCACAGAAAAATTGAAGTCTATTTACACCAGGGTGATGTAAGAGAGTAGGGAGAATGTTGCAAACAAAGCAAGAATGGTAGTGATATTTATTTAGAATCTTGATAGTCATAATGAAATATTTGAGTTCTTTTTTCCTAAGTATTCTGGGAAGTCAATGGAAGGTTTTGCATATAGATGGTTAAGCTCATTTAAAGCAAATGAAAGAAGGGGCTTAAGCCTTTAATAGCTTTCATTTATAATACTTGACACATAAAGGCAATTAGTTTATTTCAGAGAGGGTATTTCAGAATACGTTTAATTTTATCTAACCTCCTAATCCTCTTAAATTATTTTGCCCTGAAATAATTACAGAAAATGTTTCTACTTAGTCTACAAAGCAGCATTAGGAAAAGGTGCAGCATATAATTTTAAACATTCATTCACCTTTTTAAGCCTTATGAAATGAACCAGGAATTTGTTGGCTTTAAGTAACATGTTCAGCTACCATTAAATTTTAATAATACTAATAAATTAACTTTTAGACCATATTTATTCATTCAATAGTTACTTATCTACTTTCTATTCAATGTAAACACTGGGGCTACATGGACATTATGTAGCTTATGAAGCTTATAATTTATCAGTCAAAATGCTAAAATTATATACAAAATCTTTATTATTTATACAATTTATTTAAAATATTGAAGGTTATGAAGATGCCAAACTGATAATATGGAAAATGTAACTCAATATATTTGGTTTGTTTTTTGAGTCTATGTTATTTTATTAAAATATTAATATAATGATTATATAGATAGAATTTAATATACCCCATAAATTTATATGGATTAATGTCTACTCACAGAAATAATCAATTTTAAGTATCAGAAAATGTGTTATTGCCTATCTTAATTAAGGATTATGATATGAGAACTCTTTTTTCTTTTTACCCCAAACTTAATGAAAAGCATTGAGGTTGTAAAATTGCTATTAAATTTGATTCCTGATATAAAGATACAAATGCGATTAGTCATCTGTACTATTTGGAAACCAGTGTGATGTAAGACAAAGGACTTGTGAGGCACTTATAAGTTCTAATCCTGGTTACCTATGCAATCTTTGTCAAATTATTTATATTGTAATTTCTCAGTATTTTTAAATCATCATTTTGAGTAATATTGAAACAGCATTGTTGCATAGAGTATCACCTGAGGTTCATGGTCTCACAGCCACGAAGAACAAGGATGTAGACACACACAGAGTGAGGTTAAGAGTGCTCTGGGGACTGTTGTGGAGTCGGGGGAGGGCGGAAGGATAGCTTTAGGAGATATACCTAATGCTAAATGACGAGTTAATGGGTGCAGCACACCAGCATGGCACATGTATACATATTAACTAACCTGCACATGTGCACATGTACCCTAAAACTTAAAGTATAATAATAATAAAATAAAATAAAAAAAGAAAAAAAAAGTGGAAGTTCAATAGGTGAAAGAAAGAGAAGGACTCTCTGCTGCAAAGAGGGGTCCCGGAGAAGTGAGTTGCTGAATCTGCAGTGGAATGCAGGGAGCTTTACAGATGAGCTGGTATGGAGGTAATGTCTGATTTACATAGGGTGCAAAAGACTAGTTGGACTAGGTGTGCCATTTGTGTGGGGTGCAAAAAACTAGTTGGGACTAGGTGTGTCATTTGCATAGGGCATGAATTTCTGGCCACCTCCACCCTAAACTTTTATTATGCAGGCGGCTTCTCTGCCTGAGCTGCACCATGTTGCCCATTCCTTTGTTCCTGTACACGTGGTGACAAAAAAAGGAAAGATGGAGCCTCCATGTTGGACATGCCTGGCCCCTAAATAGCCCTTTTCTATTGGTGCAGCTGCTGGCATTCATCCATGCAAGCTTCCAGCGTGCTTATCTATATTTGCAGCTTGATTTTCCAGGCTAGAAAAGAAATGATTTTGAAGACTGCTTTTTGTTAGAAGGGAAGCTCTGCTGAGGACTCTGTTCCCCTCACTACCTGCCTAAATAACTTATTTCTACCTCCTGTATCATCTTCCCCCTAAGGAGTTGAAATCCCAACTGCTATTAGGGGGTGTTGGATGAACTCTTTCTGACTACTCCCTGCTGAAGAGGGGTGTCATGTGGGGAACAGCAGCCAGGGCTCCTCCTGGGGTCAATCGAAGGGTCCTTGGAAGGAGGGCATGTCCATGCTTGGTTCCATCTGCCAGCACCGTTTGGAGTTTAATAGCTTCTAGGTGAGAAGAGAAATTTTACAAGAAGGTTTAGAATATAGGATTCGAATATGAGTATTGAGATTACCATTATTAGTAGGGATACTATAGGCCATAACCATGACAGTAGAGTTTGTTCAATGCGTGTTAGCCATTCTCATGGATTGTAATACTGGTTTCCATCCACCAGATGTCGCAGTACTTTCTCAGAAACGTTAATATAGAAGCAACTTTTTTAAGGATAAGTGGCATTGGATTGGGTGGCTAGAGTAACTTTAGGGTTAACTTTGCTTAAATCTTTCCTATAATTATTAATTATACTATTCAGGTGGTAATTAGGCAGAATATTACAACAATTAGAATTTTCCATCCAGAATTTTACACTGCAGGTGCCACACTATATAGTCCTACTGCAAATAGCAGAGTGAGTATAGCAATCCTGCAAGTGTGACATAATCCATAATTTTGATCTAAATTTTACTCTCCAAGATATAGAATTTCCCTTTGGGGTCTATGAAGTTACAACTGTAATTCCAAGGATAATCAAAGTCTCCCTGAAAGTATGCATTAAAAAGAAGTTGTAATATCTGATGCCAAATCTTGAGAGGAGAAGTAGAAATGACTGAATGTATCTGGTGAGTTAGGGGTGGGATTGAGTAGGAGGAGTAGCCCTCATTCATTTACTTATTTTTTTTTATGATTTTCAGCTTAAGATCTTTTATTTCTTCACATTGATATCTGGAACATTCTACTAGGCTGTTAAGAGTTGCTCCCTCAGCTTTCCAGGAGTCCATTCCTGTAACTTTTACCACCAAGGTGGTTGAAAGAACAACAGTGTAAAGCCCTTCCCAGCTTAGGCTTAGGGAAAGAGAGAGAGAAGAGTGAGCTTTTACAAATACCAAATCTCCTGGATTAAAGGTGGTCCTATTTCTTGGGGTTGGGCTTATGTTAATTGTGTTAATTCCTGTTGGAAGTGAGCCAGAGAGATTATATGTTTAACCAGTTCAGAGGTTTTCTGATCCAATAGGAAAAGGTAAGGAAAGGCCATCCATACAGCATTTCAAAAAGGCTCAGATTTACCTTCAAAAGGGTATTTCTTACCCACAGTAAAGCCAAGGGGAGAAGAGTGACTCAAGGAAGGTGAGTCACTTGAGACAGTTTTCTAAGGTGTCTCTTGATAATATCATTTGTCTTCTCCACTTTTCCTGAGGACTGCGGTCTCCAACACAATGGAGATGACACTGTAATCCTAGTGTTTTTAAACCCCCTGTGTGGTAGCTGCCTTAAATGAGAGGCCTTTGTCACTTTGGAGGTACTTAGGAAGACCAAAGAGGGAAATGATTTCATTAACTAACACTTTTATTACCTCAGAGGCCTTTTCTGTACGGCATGTAAATGCTTCTTTCCAGTTAGTGAAAATATCTCCCTATACCAAGAAATATTGGATTCTCTTCATTTTTGGCATATGGGTGAAGTTTATCTGCCAGACTTCCTCTGAATAGCTTCCCATCCTTTGAGTTGAGGAGGAAGGAGCTGCCTGTTAAGGGGATTATTTTTAAGACACACTTCATAAGCATGAACAACCTGCTTGACTGTTTTCAATAAGTTCTCACCTGAAAACAATCTTAGGTCACACTGTTAAGTTTTATCTCTTCCCAAGTGAAAAGTTTGGTAAAGGATATTAAGGAATTTCCATTGGCTGGAGGCTGGCAAGTGGAGTTTCCCACCCTGATGGCTGGGAAGTATACCCTTGAGAGACGACCCATTCTATCTATTTAGGGGAGCATTGAGGCTTAATTTATTGAGTCTTCCCACATTACAGGGGCTTCAAGTGTGGTGAAGCCCTGAGGCTTTCTTGCCACTGACTAGACTGGCTTATCGGTTAACTTGTTTCCTTTAGCTATTTCGTCTTTTCCCTTCTGATGTCCCTTGCTACAATGCAGCATTGCTACCTCTTATGAAAGGAAAATTGAGGATAATAACCTGTTAATTTCCTGGTGGTATTTTATAGGTGATCCATTAGCAGTAAGAAAATATCTTTCCTTCCAAATGGCAGCATGAAGAACTGAGAAAGCATACTTGGAGTCAGTGTAAATGTTAACTACCTTTCCCTTGCTTAATTCAAGTGCTCTTGTAAGATCCATCAGTTCAGCTAGTTGAGTGCTTGTGCCTGGAGAGACAGATGCACTTTCAATAACATCGTTCAGAGTGACTACTGATTTTCCTGCCTTACAGACTCCTTGCTCCACAAAGAAACTTCCATCTGTGAAGAGGGTCCAGTCTGGATCTTATAGGGGAGTATTCCTGAGATCCTCCCTGGCTGCATAGGTCTGTACCACAACTTGTTTACAGTCATGTTCAGGTTCCCCAGTTTCCTCATGGAGGAAAGTGGCTGGGTTTAGGTGAGAACAAGTTTTTAATTGGATTGTAGACTCTTCTAACAGCAGAGCCTGATATTTAAGGAGCCAACTGTTAGCCAAATCTCCCCCTGGAAGACAGCAATCCTGCTACATTATGTGGGGTATAAACACTTGAGCCATTTCCCAGGGTTAATTTGGTGGCTTCTAGCAACAGTAGGGCCACTACAGCAATGGATCAGAAGCATACTGGCCATCTTTTAGCCACTAAATCAAGTTCTTTATGCAGGTAGCCCACTGTCTGTTGAGCTGGTCCTTGGGCTTGAGATAAAACTCCCAGAGCCATTCCCTTACTTTCTGATACATAAAGATTGAAGGCATTCCCTATGAGAAGGCTGAGGGCCAGTGCCTTAAGTAAGGCTTATTTTAGCTAAGTAAAAGCCTTTTGAGCTTCAGGTTCCCAAGTTTGGAAATGAGTTTTAGCCACCTGAGTTTCTTTTATGAGTTGACATAGGGGGAAGCTATCTCATCGTAGCCAGGTATCCTAGTCTGCAAAATTTTGTAATGCCCAAAAATCCTCTTAGTGGCTTGAGGGTTTTAGATTGGGGGAAGGAAAAAATAGGCTTAATGCTTTTTTTCTACTAATGTTCTAGTCCCTTCAGACAACACTAAACCCAGGTACTTCGTAGAGGTTTGACAAAGCTGGGCCTGGGATTTTGACACCTTATATCGTCTATCAGCTAAGAAATTAAGAAGAGCTTTGGAGCCTTCCTGAGAAGCTTTCTCAGTTGAAGCACAGAGCAGTATGTTATCTATATATTGCCAGACCTTGGCCTGAGGATGGGAAAACTCAGAGAGGTCCTTTGACAATGCCTGTCCAAACAAGTGAGGCAGCACCATCTCTGTTAACTGGAGAGTTTGGCCAGAGGGATCTTCAAAGGTAAACAGGTATTGAGAGTCAGGATGTAATGGTATACAGAAAAAGGCATCTTTTAGATCTAGGACATGAACTATTTAGTTCTCTCAAGTATTTGGGTTAGCAACATGTAGGGATTATGTACCACTGGTCAATTGGAACTACAGTTTTATTAATGAGGCAGAGGTCCTGAACCAGTCTCCATTCCTCCATTAGGTTTTTGTGCTCCTAATATTGGAGTGTTGCAGAGGCTGTTTCAGGGTTTGAGAAGGCCCTGTAGTTTCAGTTATTAATAATGGCTTCTAGCCCTTTTCTAGCCTCTGGCTTTAGGAAATATTGTCTCTGGTTAGGAAAAGAAGTGGGATCCTTAAGGTAGATCCAGACCAGCCTAAAGGTTGTAGCTGGACCTGTTTTTCTTGAGTTGCCCACACTTCTGGATTAATATTAGCTTCCATCAGGGGGAGACAAAGAGTTTGTCCTGGGGCTATAAGGATTCTTGCCCCCCATGCGAGCTAAAATGTCTCCACCTAATAAAGGAGTGGGACTTTCAGGCATGATTAAGAAATCATATGTAAATAATAGGTTCCCCCAACTACAACTAAGAGGTTGAGATAAATATTAGGTTAGAATCTTTTCTGAGATGCCCATCATTGTCATACTACAGGAAGAGGGAAGGACTGGATTACAGAGGAGAAGAGAGAGACTAGCTCCAGTGTCCAGAAAGAGGTCTATCTCCCTTCCTTCAATTTCCAGAATCACCTGGTGCAGTAATGACAATTTGAGCCACTCGTCGGGGGTTTGAGCCCTAGGACCCATCAGGCCTGTTGGATCATCTGTGAGACTGGTTCTGAACCTGGTGACCTCCATCTCTGGGGACAATGCAATCTCCAGTGGTCCCTGCCACAGGCTGGACAGAGTTGAAGTGGCTTCTTCTTACTGCCTGCACACTCTTTCTTAAAGTGCCCTGACTTGTCACACCGGTAGCATCTAGTGGATGCACCTCTGGGATACTGGACTTTTCAAGCCTGTAAAGCAGCTATGAGAGCCTTTGTTCTTCTCTTGTGTTTCCTCTCTTTCTCCTGGGCCTCCTCCTGGTCCCTATTATAAAAGACCAAGGTGGCTACCCTTAGGAGGTTTTTCAAGGTGCTATCTGGTTCTATAGCCTGCTTCTACAGTTTTTTTCTAATATCAGGAGGTGCCTGTGTAATAAACTTGCCCTTTAGGATTACCCGTCCCTTGATGGAATCAGGGGATAAGGAAGTATGTTTTATTATTGCCTCTTTCAGTCTTTCCATGAAGGCTGAGGGATTCTCATCTGGCTTTTGGTCTATCATAGACCATTTAGGGTAATTAAAAGTTTTGGCCCTAGTTGTTCATAGGCCCTCCAATATGCAGATCAAAAAGTGTTTCATTTGCCATTCATCTGTAGAGTCATTGTGATTCCAATTAGGGTTGTCAACAGGTACTGCCTCTCTTTCTATTGGGAATGGTGATGCCCCTATTTCTTTGCCTTGCCTATATTCTCTTTTCCTTTTTGAACTACAATAGGAGACATATTGCTTGTATATAAAGTTCTCTGCTGCCTGCAGAGCTGCCTGTTTTTCAGCTGCAGTTAAGATTTGGCTTAGGAGAAGCATAACATCCCTCCACGTGAGGCAAACACCTGAGTTAAATTTTAGAAAACTTCTATGTTTCCAAAAACTTCATAGAAAACTTCTATGTTTCTATGGAGTCATCAGAAAATTGGCCAAAATCTCCCTTTATTTGCCTAAGGTCCTGCAATGAGAAGGGAACTGGGACCCTAGTGGTATCACCTCCACTAGGCATTTCCTGTAAGGATAAGAGTGAAGGTGGGGGAGAAGGAGTTTTGGAGATGGTGGAGATGGGAGAGCTGATGATGTGGTTGAAGGTGGCCCTGAATAAGGGGGAAAGGAAGAGCCGTAACACTCAATAGCTGCCTCAGATGGTTCTCCTGGAAGTTGCTTCTCTAGTTTTAGGGAGTTATTCCCTTTGAGCCTGCCTGATATGACTGCTGTAAGAGTTGGGTTAATTGTGTAATTCTTGCAAAGCTCTGGGTTGTCTCACAGAGCAAAGAAAGCCTGTACATAAGGGACCTTGGACCATTTGCCCTCAAGTCTACAGAAAACATCAAATTGTTGGAAATCAAGGCTTCCCTCTGCAGGCCAGTTTGGTTCAAGATAATAAGAAGGCCATGCCCTTGTGCAAAAGAAAATGAGCTATTCTTTCTTCAAAGTCTCAGGGTCAAAGGAGTACCAGTGTTTTAGAATGCAATCCAGAGGAGTACAGGCTGAAATTGTTTGTTACCCATCTAGAAAGAGAAGTGAGAAAAAGGTGTCCCTTTAGTCTCCTTCATTTCCTTTGGAATGGCCCAGGGTGGAGGACAAGACAGTGGGAGCATCCCCCACAACTGTTTTTCCTCTTTGGTTTCATATGCCCCAGCATCCATTGAAGGTGCCACCCATGGATACAGGCATGACACTCAGCCATGGATCTGGAGGAACTAAGAGATGGCATTAGTCACACTTTCACATGCCCCTGTAGGCCTCTGTTGGTGATTACTCTTTGACTTCCTAGGCTTTTGTGATCTGCATGGCTCCCCAATAGATAAATCTCAGGAAAGACTATGTAACAGTTGTATTTGGGCAAGGTCTCTTAATGGACAGAGTGTACTGGGTTGAGCTCTATAATCTGCTATTTTGGCCCTGACTAAATCATGTATTCTTAGACAGTGGTTCTGGTTAATTTCTGGATGTAAAATCCCCTTACTATTTTAAGTACTGTTTTAATTCCATAAGGCAGAATAGATGCCTTGAAAGAACATAGGGACCAAATGGCAGTTTTCCTGCTGATGGGACAGTGTTGGGTCTAAAATTTGGATTTGGAGATATTTTTCTCCTCATCGTTGAGTTTTCCCATTGACAGAAGGAGCATAGAGCCTGGTCTATAGTAGAGGGGTGCAAAAAGGAGGATAATTGGAAAACTAGAGTATTTTGGCAAAGGGCCAACAAAATGCATCATAGAGAGGATCCCTATTCCACTAGATGGTACTGTAAGTCTTGAAATACCATGTGCTTTCTGGCCAGGCACATTGGCACACGTTGTAATCCCAGCACTTTGAGAGGCCGAGGTGGGCGGATCACTTGAGGTCAGGAGTTTGAGACCAGCCTGGCCAACATGGTGAAACACCATCTCTACTCAAAATACAAAAATTAGCTGGGTGTGGTCGTGCACTCCTATAGTCTAAGCTAGTAGGAAGGCTGAGGCAGGAGAATAGCTTGAACCTGGGAGGTGGAGCCTGCAGTGAGCCAAGATTGCACCACTACACTCCAGCCTGGGTGACAGAGCGAGACTCCGTCTAAAAAAAAAAAAAAGAAAGAAATACAATGTGCTCTCCATGTGCTCTCCAGACCAAGGATAGAGAGAGAGATGTAAACTGTTGGGGGGCAGGGAGGAAATCCTCTGTTCCTAGAAAATCACAAAAATGCCAATCCCCTGAGCTATATTCCTGGTTACTATGGCATTTGCTGATCTTGCCTAATAGGATTATTTTCCTGAACTGCAAAAATTTCCACAGCATTGCATACAGAGAGGGGACAGGAGGCAAGACGGTCCAGGAAAGAAAAGGAGGAAAGTTGCAATAGAAAAAGATTGAAGATCCTACTGCCAATGCCCATTGGGCAGTCAGAGGCTAGTGTTAGTCCAGCAGCCTGATAACATTGGGGTGTAGCCCCAGCCGGAAACCCTCAGTTGCTCTGGACTTCTTCCAGCCCCTTATGATGGCTAGGCTCTCCGTGAAAGGAAAACAGTTTGAAACAGAGGCAATATTCCCAGCACCCTGAAGACTCAGGAGGATTTGCTAAGTTCTCCCCAGCAAGCCTGTCATCTGAATCTTAAGAACACTGGCCACACAAATGGTTTCTTTAACTGGCCATCAGACACTCAGTTTTAAGTTTGATTTTAAAATTGAGAGCAGAAAGCCCCCAAAGGAAAATAAGGATCGGGGGTCCCCTTCTATACTCAACCTTCCAATGAATCTACCTTGGATCCCCAATGGGCCTCCACAATGAAACAGCATCATTGTCTGGAGTATCACCCGAGGTTTATGGTCTCACGGCCATAGAGAACAAGAATATCGACACACAGAGTGAAGTTAAGAACTGAAGTTTAATAGGTGCAAGAAAAAGAAGAGCTCTCTGCTGCAGAGAGGGCTCCCAGAGAAATGGGTTGCCAAATCTGTGGTGAAATGAAAGGGTTTTATAGATGAGCTCGTGAGGAGGTGGTGTCTGATTTACACAGGGCGAGAAAGACTGGTTGGACCAGTGCAGCATTTGCATAGGGCATGCGATCTGGTTTGGTCTAGGTGTGCATTTGGATAGGGCACAAATTTCTGGCTGCCCCCACCCTAATATTTTATCATGCAGGTGGGTTCTCTGCTTGAGGTGTGCCATGTTGCCCATTCCTTTGTTCCTGTACACACTGTAACAAAATAAAGGAAAATGAAACCTCCATACCGGACATGGCTGACCCCTGGTAAGACTTTTCTATTGGCACAGCTGCTGCCATTCCCCCATGCAAGCTTCCAGCTTGCTTATTTATGTTTTCAGCGTGATTTTTCAGGCTGCTATTTGTTATAAAAGACATGATTTTGGGGATTGCTGTTTGTTAGAAGGGAAGCTCTGCTGAGAACTCTGTTGCCCTCACTGTCTAAATAATTTATTTCTACCTCCTGTATCAATACTGCTTAGCGTTTTACTGATGTCAAATGATGTCATCTGTTTCATGATAATAAATGCTAATTATCTTTTTATTAAGCGCACATTATATCTCCAACATTATGCAAAAACTTTACGTGCTATATCTTGACGGCAGTATCTTAAGATAACTGTCTATAGTTCTATTTTATAACGGGAAACCTGAGGTACTTAAAGGATAGGTGACTTTACAGTGTCTTACAGCCATCAACAGGGCAAATTCTGAATTCAGGCCACTCCAACTAAGACGGCCATGCTTTTGACACAAACCCTACAGTCTTTTAATACACATAGTGTTAGAACCAAAAGAATGTTAGTTTCTTTAGGGCAAATATTTTTGTCTTAATAATTCACTGCTGCATTCCTCATGCTTAGACTAATTCCCAACTTAGTGGTTACAAAATACCTAAGAGTATATATTCACCCAATATTACTTGCCTTCAAAGTTTAAAGCAGTTCAAAGAAGAGACTCTTGTGTATATAGAGATTATAAATGTTTACCTCCCTTCATAGTATGTGATGAATATATGTAAATTGCTAACATTACTTTTAAATTTACAAATGATTGTTAGGTTCTATCTTGTCATGTATGTTTATAATAGAACCAAAGCATCGGGGCTTCAACTGTGCTAAATGTATTAGTTTCTGGAAACAAAGATATAAATAAATGATCTATATTAATAAAAACACCAAAGAAAACATGGATACACATGATAGATTGTAAAAGTTTTTTTTTCTTTCTTATAAAGTGAATGATCAAAAAAGATACCAAGGTACTTGAGACAAATGAAAAGGGAGTGGCTTCAGAGCAAGCACTCTGTGTATTTAATCTACCAAAATCTGTGGTTTCCAGAGAATGAAGTGAGGATTGATACTGACTCCAAGAGGGCATAAAATAACTTTTTGGAGGATGATAAAAATATTCTATACCATGATTGTGTTGGCGGTTACCTGATTGCATCCACTTATCAGAACTCATGGAACTAACCGTTTTAAAAGCAAGGTTTGTACTGTATGCAAATTGTATCTCATGAACTTGAAAAAAATATTAACCACATAGGGACTCCCTACATTTACCTATCATTGCTCCATTCTTCAATCTTTGGCCACAAACAGTTTCAAGATTTGTAACTTTCTATGTTGGCAAAAAACTACATTCAATCGGCTTTCATTTATTTAGGAAACCGATTCCACTTAAACTCTTTCTCTAGTTCTTTTTCCAAAAGATGATCTGCTGAAGAGGAATTTCACAACATCTTCACCAGAAAAATATTATTGTGAAGACTTTACCTGTCATTGTCATTGATGCCTTAACCTGAATTACTTCTTGTATTTATGCTGACACATTTTTTAGCAGATTATATGTTAAACACTGTGCAAGGCACAATATTTCTATTTAGAGCAAAAGAGTTCCAGTATATTTAGTCTTTGAGTGTCCTAAGGAGTCATCTCCATCTCTCAGTGGTGACACTAGCAGCCCAGGTATTTAAAATAGTTATATTGTTTTATAGCTGTACTGCTTTGCTCAACATGTATCTTATCCTTATTTGCTGAGGCACTCAGGAATCCAAGTCTGCCAGATCACATGTCATTATGCACTATGGGGTTACTTATTTTAGTTCTTCTCTGTATAGACTCTAATCAGAATTCATCTCTCAACCATTCCTACTCTTTCACTTTTTTCTTTGCAACTGAAATTCTTTTTTTTTTTTTTTGAGATGGAGTCTTGTTCTGTCTCCCAGGCTGGAGTGCAATGGTGCAATCTCAGCTCACTGCACCTCCACCTTCCAGGTTTAAGCGATTCTCCTGCCTCAGCCTCACATGTAGCTGGGATTACAGGTGCTGTCACCATGCCCAGCCAATTTTTTATTTTTTTTTATTTTTTAGTAGAGACAGGGTTTTGCCATGTTGGTCAGGCTGGTCTCGACCTCCTGACCTCAGGTGATCCACTGGCCTCAGCCTCCCAAAGTGCTAGGATTACACTAGGTGTGAGCCACCTCACCTGACCGCAACTGAGATTCTTTAATCAGATCACTCAGTCTATCCTAAGCCACTACTCAATGTTTCCCTCTCAGAGGTTAGCTGACTTTCTCATCTCTGTTGCTCTCATAGAGGATTCATCTTTTATGATGGTAACATTTTGAGGAAAAATCAGAGAATGAATGCTGAGATGATAAAAATCTAAGTCATCAGAGAAGACGGGATGAGAGAGGTCAAAGATAAACTGAACATGAGTTTTTAAATTGGCAAGGACAGACTTTATTCAATAATCATTATTGCAATGGGGAAGATGGTCTATCTTGAACTGAAGTCAACTTTGTTTTGTGCAGAGGTGACTGAGTATTTTAAAGAAAGAATGAAGGAGTAGAAAGAGGAAACTAGCGGAGAGTTAAAACAGAGATTGAGTTTGTTCTTCATGCTTATCTGAAGGAGATAACTTATCTGTCTTCATGACAGAAAGTAATAGTGCAAGTTAGAGCAAGACACTCACCAGGCTGTGAGGGAGAGCTGGAGTTATTTCTCTGGATGTTTGCATCTGGAAGAAATGGCTCTCAGGTCCTTGAAAATATAGTTCTTGTTGATGGAATTCCAACATCTCAAAGTGGGAGAGAAAGGATTTACAACTGTTAGCATTCTAAAGTAACTCCTCTATAGGGGGGCAGGGGCAGGGGCAGGGGGGAGGTGTGCAGGTCAGGGGCCTGATTATTACTAGATTTTTTATTAGAACAAATTGTAATTCTCCTGATATCTCTCAGTTTCTTTATACTGCACATTAAAGGGACCTAAGGTCATCCTTGGAATATGCCCTTGAGCTGTTTGAAAATATGTTAGTGTTTGTGCAAATCTTAATAAGAGTTTGGAGAGGTAGTGAGAGTCTGCAGTAGAGTTGAGGCCTTCTTGAATAGAGCACTCAGAGGAACCTTTCTCCAGTTTGGTCAAGAATAGAATTTTTGTCATAGGCAATGACAATTGAATAGAATCAGCTCCTGAAGATTTCCCTCAAAATGCAAGTAACCAAAAAGAGAAAAACAAAGAAAGTTTCCCACTTAATGGACAACAAATCAATTTTTAGAAGTCCCACTTTGTTCTGAAACCTCATTTCCAATGGAAAGTCAAAGTTTTTATGATTTCATCAAGGAAGATTGAGCGATTTGGGAAAAGTCATTAACATCTCCCACATGGAATACTCTTACTGGAAATATAATTTTTGAAATATAATAAAGGAATCTCTCTAACACTTCAAAAATCTACATGCAATATAAGACATTACTTGTTAAATACATGTAACATACATTTATAAAAGTCAATAAAATAACTGAAGTTATAGCAATTATTGTTAGAATATATTTACCATTTATGATATTATTTTATCCTTTGGCATTTAGTTAAAATTTGAAAAATTATATTTTTTTCAATTTTTGGAGTAAAAATATATAGCCACAAAATATAGCTTATTTGAATATAAGTAATTAATAATATCATTGTGATTTGTATGTATATCTTTGTGTCATATCATGGTTTTATTTTTTCCCTCATATGCAGTACTTAGGATTCTGAGGTTTATTTCCAGTTGAAAAAGGATTTATCATTGTATTGACCCTTAATCATTGCTGCTCTTTCAAGTTCATGGTAGAAATGTCCCTTACCATTTCATTTGAATATACATGTATCCTCAGTTGCTTTAGTAGATGAAATATAGTCATTGATGACATGCGTCACTCCAGATTAGATGTTTTAAGGTTATTTTTCTGCTCTGGTGTTACTAGAAAAAATGTGTTGAGTTGGAGTTTCTGTTGGCTCAGTTCCTAAGTCAGTGTGCTGAGCAGAGCTACACTGTTGATCCACAGTGGACCTATAATGGGAAAAATAAATAAATATTACTCATACAAGTTTTTTTAATTGCACTGTTAACTCAGACTATAAAAAACATACAAACGTGTATTTAGAAATGAACTACTGTGTTAACCCCCGTGTATACATACACACATGCACACAGAAAAACACACACACCTAAACCAAATTATGTATATGATTGCTCTAGGGCTGAGTGGTGGGTTTGAGGAAACATATATGGAAGGGTAGAAGAATATTTACATAATTACATGCTAGGAAAGCATTGTATAAAGTGATTTCTGGGAGGTAATTTATGTGCCTCACAAAAATGTGAGTCCATGATGGCTTTTCAAGGCAAATAGTAACATTCTGAAACCATTACACATGGTTTTTACAAACCATGTAAAAAGTAGGTGTTTCCAAAGTTAATACTTTCAATTGAGCAGAATTGCTCAGGACAAGGAGACTGCAGAGACGGCTCTCTCACTAAACCTAAATCACCTCTATGTATCCACAATTAAATTGAGAGTCATGGGGAACAACAGAGAAAAAGTAGGGTAAAGCAAAAAAAAAAAACAATAAAATATTAATTTGTAGAAAGAGTGAAACTTAATGTATGCAATTAAAAAATTATTGAGAAAGTTGGGGAATTACAAATATAGAATGCAGACTGTGACAAAAGAATTTCACTCTCTTACCAAGGAAAATATATGTGTAATCTCAATGAAAAGGATGGAGAAAAAGAAAGATACTGATCTGAGTAACTCTGTAAATGGGTGGAGACTCAATGCTAAACACAGCATGAAATGAACATAAACACTGGATT
Source organism: Homo sapiens (assembly GCF_000001405.40). Lineage (NCBI taxonomy): Eukaryota > Metazoa > Chordata > Mammalia > Primates > Hominidae > Homo > Homo sapiens. The sequence goes on along the minus strand of NC_000013.11, from coordinate 82,318,184 downwards.
ATGTTGCAGGAAGTCAGGGACCCCAAATGGAGGGACCAATTGGAGCCGCAGCAGAGGAACATAAATTGTGAAGATTTAATTTTAATATGGACATTTATCAATTCCTAAATAATACTTTTATAATTTCTTACGCCTGTCTTAATTTAATCTCTTAATCCTGTTCTCTTTCGTAAGCTGAGGGCCACTATGAAAATTGTGTTAACTGTACAAATTGATTGTAAAACACATGTGTTTGAACCATATGAAATCAGTGCACCTTGAAAAAGAACAGAATAACAGCAATTTTTAGGGAACAAGGGAAGACAACCATAAATCTGACTGCCTGCGGGGTCAGGCAAAAAGAGCCATATTTTTCTTCTTGCAGAGAGCCTATAAATGGACGTGCAAGTAGGGAAGATACTGCTAAATTCTTTTCCTAGCAAAGAATATTAATATTAATACCCTGGGAAAGGAATGCATTCCTGGGGGGAGGTCTGTAAATGGCCGCTCTGGGAATGTCTGTCCTATGCGGTTGAGATAAGGACTGAGATACACCCTGGTGTCCTGCAGTACCCTCATGCTTACTAGGGTGGGGAAAAACCCCGCCCTGATAAATCTGTGGTCAGACCGATTCTCTGCTCTGGAACCCTGTTTTCTGTTAAGATGTTTATCAAGACAATACGTGCACCACTGAACATAGACTCTTATCAGTAGTTCTGCTTTTGCCCTTTGCCTTGTGATCTTTGTTGGACCCTTATCAGTAGTTCTCCTTTTTGCCCTTTGAAGCATGTGATCTACTCCCTGTTCTTACACTCCCTCCCCTTTTGAAACCCTTAATAAAAAACTTGCTGGTTTGAGGCTCAGGTGAGCATCATGGTACTACTGATATGTGATGTCACCCCCAGTGGCCCAGCTGTAAAATTCCTCTCTTTGTACTCTTTCTCTTTATTTCTCAGTTGGCTGACACTTATGGAAAAATAGAAAGAACCTATGTTGAAATATTGGGGGCGGGTTCTCCCAATAGGATTATTCATGGTAAGACTCTTTTATGGGTGTAGGTTAATTCTGAAACCACTATAACTGTATATTGAAATTGTGTGAATAAATGAATTACAAATGGTAGAACACAGGTTTCTTACTATTTCAACAAGGGGTTACAGATAAGCAAGTGGTAAAAGCTAAAATGAACTATGTGGCATTTCATAAGAGCTAGAAGCCTGAGCATGAATTCATATTTAGTTTAATATAGATAAAGGTGTGTATAGAGACGGATTAGTATACATGCATGTATTTTCTAACTCTGTCCACTGAAAGAGCTTAGGAACACCAACACCATACTAGCAACATGCAAACCCATTTCCCAGAGCTGGGTTTCTAATGCCATTCTTCAATAAAAGGAACCTAGGCTCCTTGGAGAAATGGCTGATTCTAGGGCTAAGGCAGCAAATATAAAGTATGATCCCAGAGCATCTCATCATACCAGAAAGAAATGGAGTCATAGCAAACAAACAAAAGCGAAGCAATACACAACAATGAGGGTATATCAAAGAGACATCCCTCCTTCAGGATACTACCCCACCCTTCAGGGTTAAATCAGCAAGGTAACTTTCTTCTAAAAGAGTAATAATTTTACAGTAGATAAACCTCACAAAGACTACTTCAACCAGGGAATAAAGGCTGACACTGACAGCAATAATTTGTGTAGATATAGCATAAACTCTTTACAAGAATTAATGAGAATAGTACTTTACATCTGCGGTCTTTACTCCAAAATCTATAACCACTCTCTAACCATGAGAACAACATCAGACCACCCAAACAAAAGGAATTCTGCAAAATACAGGACCAGCACTCTGAAAAATGATCAATGTTATAAAAAACAATGGAAGTCTGAGAAACTGTCACACTCTAGAGAAGCCTAAGGAAACATGACAACAAAATGTAATGTGGTATCCTGAACAGAATTCTTTTATTTTTATGAATGAAATTCTTGAAGAGCAAAGGAGACTTTACATAGAAATTGTGGGTATCCAAAAAAGTCTAAACTTTAGATAATAAGGTATTAATATTATTTCATTAGTTGTGATAAAGGCATCATAGAAATAAAAGGGGAAACTGAGCATGGGGTATACTAGAGCTCTTTATTGTATCCTTGCAACATTTTTGTAAATCTAAAACTATTTAAAAATTTTTTAAAGTTTAAAAAATGTTTTAAAAAATCACAAAAATAACTATGAGTTTGGATGAATAGAAATAATTTAGAGGTATTCCAGCTGTACCTTCTAAAACAAATGGGAAGTTAATACGATTTTTAAAATACTTTTTTTCACCTACCAAAACTAAAGCAACCATAATTGGAAAAATAGAGAAACAGATTGACTTGCACTTTTTCTTATACATCCCTTGATGTCTACAAGTTAATATTCAGCATGTGAGAACACCACAATAGTAGAAACAAGATTGAATAATTCATGACAAATTAATACACTTTAAATTATGTTACCCTAACTAAGTTTAGAAGAGAATATAATACTCTATTTTTTCTATTGTAGTTAATTTGTAATAGGCATAAAATTTGGAATACCATTTTTTATTTGAGTTTTTAAATTTTGAATAAACATTAACAGAAAACAAAACTAGGACATAGAGGCTGCCACACTGCCTTCAAAGAATCGGTAGTTTTCCTGTCTTCACTGTATTTTACCTTACTGTTCATCTGAAATGATTCCAGAGGAAAGATTCTTAGCTAAATTCGCAAGACACAGGCTATCATTATTCAAAGTATCCCAATGATACCATCTTTTTTTTTTTTTTTTTTTTTTTTTTTTTTTTTTTTTTTTTGAGACGGAGTCTCGCTCTGTCGCCCAGGCCGGACTGCGGACTGCAGTGGCGCAATCTCGGCTCACTGCAAGCTCCGCTTCCCGGGTTCACGCCATTCTCCTGCCTCAGCCTCCCGAGTAGCTGGGACTACAGGCGCCCGCCACCGCGCCCGGCTAATTTTTTGTATTTTTAGTAGAGACGGGGTTTCACCTTGTTAGCCAGGATGGTCTCGATCTCCTGACCTCATGATCCACCCGCCTCGGCCTCCCAAAGTGCTGGGATTACAGGCGTGAGCCACCGCGCCCGGCCCCAATGATACCATCTTTAAAATCACATGCACAAATTGGTAAGAGTAATACATAATATCACTGCACTGTTTGTGAGAGAGGAACTCAGAGACCTGGCCCTTGAGGAAAAGCAGAAAAGACGAGATGAGCCAGTAACTTTTTGTCATTTTTATTTTTGAAAAAAAAAAGAGTGACCTTTAAAATTAACTACAGTAGGTGTTATGTAAGGTATTCATACTTGTCTTGTCTTCTAACCTTAGAAAAACAGACTGGAGATCATCTAAAACTCTGAAGACAGATGAAGGTGAGTATCATATACTTTCTCTTTATTCCAATTTTTATCCCATTATTCATACACAATCTACCAAAAAAGAGAGAGAGAAAAAAGCATTTTTCTAGTGTGCAGTGTTCAAAATAATGAGATTTTTGGAGAGAGAAAGAACATCTTGTATGTTTTTGCTGAGCCTACTAATTCAAGCCAGACTCTACTAGCTGCTGGTTTAGCATTATTTCACCCTTTATGATAAGAAACATGTGACATAGCCTTCCCTGGTTTATACATCTTTTGCTTGGATGAAAGAAAAGAAATGGCAGTTATCCTTTGGGTTATATTCTTGCCTATACACGAAAACTGGTTCTTAGTCATACGGTACGGAATTTGTAATAATAATATCATTAATAGTAACACACACATATAGTGCATATTATGTCTCAGATTGATTTAATACTTACAATACCTCAATGAAGTATGCATTATTAGTTTTTCCATTAACAAAAGAAACTGTTGTACGGAGATATTATAGTAACTGACCCACAGTTATCCAACTATGAAGTGGCTGGGCAGGGATTCAAATCTATTGATTCTGATTTAAGAGTACATTCTCTTAACCCCCATAAAATAATTTATCACCAATTTAAATAAATATTAAATATTGTGTTATAAATATTTAGTTGTATTCATGACAACTTTACTGCCTCTCTGACTTCAGACAAATTAAACCAAGAGATAATACACAGCTACCAGGAACAAAAACATTAGTATTCTGACATCAATTTAGTGTGAAACTTTTATCACCTTCAAGACCAATGCAGCACCAATGAGACCGAACATGGTAACTATAGTCACCATGTTGGAAAATAGATTTCTTGAACTTATTCTCCCCTGCCTAAATGAAATTTGATTTTATTGGCCAACATCGCTTCAAACGCTAAAATTCCTGGGCCCTGGCAAAGAAAATTATATTCTCTACTTCTATGAATTCAACCTTAAAAAATAGGACACATAAATGAGATAATGTGGTATTTGTCTTTCTATGCCTGGCTTATTTTACTCAATATAATGTCCTCTAGGTTCATCCATGTCATGACAAACGATGAAATATCTTTCTTTTAAAAGCTTAATAATATTCCACTGGGCACATATACAATATTTTCATTATCTACTCACTGTTGATGAACACTTAGGTTGATCTCATATATTATTGGCTTTTGTGAATAATGCTGTCATGAATATGAATATATGATGCAGATATCTCTTCTACATACTGATTTCATTTCCTTTAGATATGTACCCTATAATGTGAACGCTGAATTATATAATAGTTCTATTCTTATTATCGTGAAGAGATTCCATACTGTTTTCCATACTGGCTATACTAATTTACTTCCTCACCAACAGATTGAAAGAGTTCTTTATCCCCTCATACATGCCAGCATTTGTTATCTTTAGTGCTTTTAGTAATAGCTATTTTAACAGGTGTAAGTTGATCTCTCATTGTAGTTGTACTTTGTATTTCCCTGATGATTAATGATGTAAAGCAGTTTTTCATGAACCTATCACCATTTGTATGTCTTCTTTTGAGAAATTTCTGTTTAGATCTTTTGCCCATTTCTAAATTATTTGTTTCATTGCTACTAGGTTGTATGAGTTTCCTTTGTATTTTGAATAGAAACCCTTTGTTAGATATATGGTTTGAATATATCTTATCCATTTCATAGGTTGTCTCATAATTCTCTTGATTGTTTCCTCTGTTGTATGGAAATGTTCTACTTTGATGTTATTCCATTTGTCTATTTTTGCTTTTGTTGACTGTTTTTCGGTTCATATCTAAAAAAATCATTCCCCATAAAAATATAATGGAGCTTTTTCCCTATGTTTTCTTCTAGTGGCTATTCAGTTTCAGTTATTGCATTTAAGTCTTTAATCCATTTTGAGTTGATTTTTGTATGTGATATGATATAAGGGTCTAAATTCTTTCTTAGTTTTTTTAATTTTAATTTTTATGAATACATAATAGCTGTACATATTTATGGGGCATATGTGATACATGAAACAAGTATACAATGTGTAATGATCAAATCTTGATAACTGGGATTTTTACCTCCTAAAATATTTATCATTATTTATCAGAAATACAGTTAGGTAGAAAGAATATGATCTAGTATTTGGTAGCACAATAGGGCAACTATAGTTAATAACAATTTCATTTATCTGAATGTGAAAATCTACTTGTCTCAATACCATTGTTTGAAGGGACTACCTTTTCCCCGTTTTGTGTTCTTCTCAACTTTGTTGAAAATCAGCAGGCTGTAAATGTGTGGATCTATTTCTGGGTTCCCTATTCTGTTCCGTGGCTCCATATGTCTGCTTTTCGGTAAGCATCATGATTTTTTTATTACTATAGATTTATAATGTATTTTTGAAATCTGGGGTGTAATGTCTCTAGCTTTATTCTTTTTGCTCAAGATTGCTTTCGTTATTCTGGATCTTTCGTGGTTCCATGCAAACCTTAGGATTGTTTTTCCTATTTCTCTCAATAATGTGATTGAAAATTTGTAGTGTGATGAATCTGTAGACTGTGTTTGGTATTATGGATATATTAATAATATTTACCCAATCTATGAACACGAGATATCATTCATTTTATTGTGTCTTCTTCAAGTTCTTTCATTCATTGGTTAAATTTTTCCCTAAGTAATTTTTTGTAGCTATTATAAAAAGGACTGTTTTTATTCTCTTTTTAGATATTTCATTGTTAGTATATTAAATGCTACTTTTTTTTCTATCTTTCAATTTTATTTAGTATATTTATGAGGTCTAACAATTTTTTATTTAGTGTAGTCTTTAGAATTTTCTACATAGAAGATCATGCCATCTTCAAATGGGGAAAATTTAACTTTTAATTTTTCCATTTGGGTGTCTTTTATTGTTTTCATTTATCTAATTACTCTGGCTGGGACTTCCAGTACCATATTGTATAGGAGTAGCAAGACTGGGCAAAATTGTCTTACTTCATATCTTAGGGAAAAACTTTAACATTACCCTGTTGAGACTGATGTTATCTCTGGGTTTGTAACATATAACCTTTATTGTATTGATGTAAATTCCTTCTACATCTAATATTTTATACTGTTAATCATGAAAACATGTTGAATTTCATCAAAAGCATTCTTTGTATCTATTAAAATGGTCATATAGATTTTGTTATTGTGGTATGTCACATTAATAGATATGTGTATGTTGAACCCCCTTTGCATCTCTGGCATGTGATCAATTTCTGTCTTTGTCAGTTTGTGCTGCTTTAACAGAATACTTAGAGTGGATAATTTGTGAGGAATATATATTTATTTCACACACTCAAGTATTTATAAAAAATAAATACTGGGTTCCAGAAAGTCCAGATGAAGGTGCCAACATCTTCTCAGTGTCTTCTTGCTGTGTTCCCACATGGTGGAATGTGGAACGGCCAGAAAGGATGAACATCCTGTCCTCACATGTAGAATAGAAAAAGAAAGCAAACTTCTCTCACAAGCCCTTTTTATAATGGCATTAGTCCATTCATAAGTGTAGCACCCTCTTGATCTAATCACCTTTCAAAAAACTACACTTCTCAATACATTAGGGATTAAGTTTTAACAGAAAATTTGCAGAGGACAATATTCTGTCTCTGGCCTTCTGAAATTGAAGGCCTCATACAAAAAAAAATACTCTTCATCTACATAACCCCCAAAATTAAATTATTTAATTTAATCAATTTATTTATGTTTTCAGCTTAGAGACAGTGCTTTGCTGTTACCCAGGCTAGATTCCAACTCTTGGGCTTAAGTGATTTTCCTGCCTCAGCCTCCAAGTGGCTGGGACTACAGGCTCGCACTCCTATGCCCAGCAGCCCCCAAATTCTGAACGCATTCCAAATCAACTTTAAAATCTAAGTCTAAAGCTTCATCTAAATCAGATTTGGGTGAGACTTAAGGCACAATTTATTCCAAAACAAATTTCTCTCTTGCTGAGAGCCTGTGAAATCAAACAAGTTATGTGCTTTCAAAATCCAATGGTGAGACAAGCATAGGACAGACATTTCTATTGCAAAAGGTAGTGGTAAGAAAGGAGAGGAGTAACAGGACTCAAGTAAGCCCAAAACTCAAAAAGAAAAACAAAATTAAATCTTAAGAGTTAATTGTCATCTTATTTGACTCCATGTCTAGGCTTCTGGACACACTAGAGTGGGAACTGGGTCCTTAAAGTCTTGGACAGCCATGTAACCATGGCTTTGCTGGGCAAAGTGTGCACAAAAGCTCTCATAGGTTGGAGTCATGTGCCTATAGCTCTCACAGGCTGGCATATCATGCTGATTGCTCTACTGTTATGGGGTCTCGGAGGCAGTCCTGCCCCCACAATTCCTCTAAGTTTTGCACTACTGGGGGCTCTCAGTGATAGCTCCACATATGTAGCAAATTGTTGGTTGGGCATCAAGGCTTTCTAAGGCATCCTTTTAAATAAAGATAGGTGAAGTCGTGCCTCCACAGCTCCTATACACCATACACCTGCAGAGTAAGCACCATGTACATGCTGCCATAGCTCACCTTTTGCACCTTCCAGAATTGTGGCCTGAGATGCACCTGAGCCTGCCTAAGGAAAATACAGGGAGCATATACTTGAGGCAGCCCTGGACAGTGAGTCCAAAAGTACCGCCTCTGCCCTGGACCCCTCCCTTTAAAAAATTCTGACTGCAAGGCTCTAGCACTCTTGGCTTGTGATAAGATGGGAATCCTTGAAGACCTCTGAAATTCCTTTAGGGTCATTCTCAAGGAACTAGAAGAACAAAAACAAACTGAATCCAAAGTTAGTTGAAGGAAGAAATTAATAACCATCAGTGCAGAAATAAATGATATAAAGAGTAGGAAAACAATAAAAAAGATCAACGAAACTAAGTTTTAAAACTGACAACCATTGACAACCATAAAATTGACAACTGTTAGTTAGATGAAGAAAAAAAGACAATACTCAAATAAAATCCAAAATTAAAGAATAGTACAACTGAATCAACAGAAATACAAAGGATCATAAATGACTATTATGAATAATTATACACCAATAATTTTCTTGATGCATACAACCTACAAAGACTGAATTATAGAGAAATAGAATAGCTTAACAGAATAGCTTAATGATGAGTAAGGATATTGAAACTGTAATGCAAAATTTTGCAATAAAGAAAAGCTCATGACCTGATGGCTTCACTGATGAATTCCATAAAACTTTTAGAGAAGAACGACTCCCACTTTTTCTCAAATTTCCCAAAAAATTGAAGGGAAAGGCCTATTGCAAAACTCATTTTACAAGGTCAGCATCATGCTGATACCAAAGGCAGACAATGACACTACAAAAAGAGAAAACTACAGGCCAATATCCCTGATGAACACAGATGCAAAAATGACAAAATACAAGCAAACCAAATTGACCAACAAATTTGGAAGATAATTTACCATAAACAGGTGCGTTTATCTCAGTAATGCAAATACAGTTCATCAGGCATAAATTAATAATTGTGATGCATTACATTAAAGGAATGAAGAACAAAAACCATATCATTATTTCTATAGTTGGAGCAAAAGCACTTGACAGTATTCAACATCATTTTATGACAAAATCTCACAAAATTAAGTATAGAAGGAATGTAACTGAATGTAATTAAGGCCATGTATGACACACTGAAAGATAACATCATTCTCAATGGGGCAAATTTGAAAACTTTTCATCTAAGCTATGAAATAAGACAAGTATGCTCACTATTGCCACTCTTATGCAATGTAGTACTGGAGGTCCCAGGCAGAGCAATTAGCAAGTGAAAACAGTAAAAGGCACCCACATGGAAAAATAAGAAGTTAAATTGTCCCTGTTTGCAGAAAATGTGAACTTAAATATAGAAAATCCTAAAGACTCCACTAAAAATAAAAAACCTCTTATATACAATAAATATACTAAATAAAGTTGCAGGATATAAAATCTACATGGAAAAATTAGTAGCATTTTATATACTAACAATGATGTATCTAAAAGAGAATCAAGAATGCAGTTCCTTTTATAATAGCTACAAAAAGCAAATACTTATGGATAAATTTAACGTGGTATGAAAGATTTATACACTAAAACCTATAAAACATTGATGAAAGAAATTGAAGAAGACACAAATGAAGGGAACGATATCTCAAGTTCATGGACTGGAAGAATGAATATTATTAACATGTCCATATTATCCAAAGCAATCTACAGATTCAACGCACTCTCTATCAAATTGCTAACCACATTATTGAGAGAAATAGAAAAAACAATTCTAAAATTTGTATGGAACCACAAAAGACCCAGAATAGCCAAAGCAATCTTGAGGAAGAAGAACAAAGTTGAAAGCATCACACTCTTCACTTCAAATCTATAGTAATTAAAGCAGCATGTTACTGACCTAAAAATAGACATATAGAGCAATGAAATAGAATAAGGAGCCACCAAATAAATCTACACATTCACAGCCAGCTGATTTTTAACAAAGTTGAAAAAAACACAAAATGGTTGAAAAAGAAAGTCCCTTCAATCAATGGTGTTGGGACACATGTATAGCCACATGTGAAAGAATGAAATTGTATCCTTATTTCACACCATGTAAAAATAAACTATAAGGCAACATAATACTAAAACTTAAGACTGAAAACTATGAACATTTTCGAAAAAGGCATAGAGAAAAATTCATGACATTGGTCTGGGGAATGACTTTTTCAATATAACTCCAAACCACAGGTAATGAAAGCAAAAGGAGACAAATGGATTTTCATCAAACTAAAAAGCTTGTGCAGAGCAAATTAAACAATCATTAGAGTAAAAATACTACCTACAGATTGGGGAAGATATATGCAATGTATACATCAGATAAGGAGTTAATATACATAATATATTAGCAACTCGAAGAACTCAATAGGAGGAAAACAAATAATCCAATGAAAATGAGCAAAGGAGTTGAATAGACATTTCTCAAAAGAATACACAAAAAAGCCAACAAGCATGTAAAAAAGTTCAACATCACTGATCATCAGGGAAATGCAAAGTAAATCCACAATGACATATCATCTCACATCTGCTAGAATGGCCATTATCAAAAATATGAAAGATAAGAAGTGTTGGAGAATTTGTGGAGAAGAGGATCCTTTGTATCATGTTGTTGGGAATGTAAATTAATATAGCCATTATGCAAATCATTATGATGGTTCCTCAAAAAAATTAAATTAGCAAACTACACTATGGTAAAATTCAACAATCTCACTACTGGGTGTGTTTGTGTGTGCATGTGTATACGTATATAATTTCTGATTTCTTATATGTATATATATATGTATATAAGAAATCAGAATGTGGAAGATGTCTCTGTCCTCCCATGTTCATTGCAGCATTATTCACAATAGGCATTATACAGAGTCATTGTAAGTATCCATCAGTGGCTGGATGGATAAAGAAAATATGACATATATACAAAATGGAATACTAGCCAGCCGTAAAAAAAAGAAAATTCTGTAATTTGGAACAACATGGATAAACCTAAAGGACATTATATTAAATGAAATAAGCCAGGTGCAGAAGGACACATACTACACAATCTCAATCATATGTAGAACCTGAAAATATTTGTATTATAAAAGTAGATAATTTATTGGTGGCTGCCATGAGCTGGGGCTGTTTTGTGAAAAGGCTGGGTGCATGTTGGTCAAAGGGTATATGATTTCAGTTAAATAGCGTTAGGGCTAAGATATCCAACAAGCAAATGGCCAATCTTTTAAAAATGGTGTTATAAAAATATTAAAAGAATCTCGGAAATATCTCAGAGAAAAGTAAACTCTTCCTCAATTAGGAATATATTGGATGATATTTAATTGTATCTAGTTATCTACTTTTTTTCTGTTTTTATTTTAAAAATTTAAATATGTTTGCCAGTGACATAGCTCTTGATAAGTAAAAATGAATAAATAGGAAAGAACTGGTTCCATTGATATAAAAGTACTAGTGGGGTTCCTGACATGGCTTTCTAGCTAAACAAAAGACCTTAAACCAAATTTGTTCATAAACACATTGAGTGCCATTCACAAACAAATATATATATGTATACATATATAAGGCACTAATATATATAGATATAGATTAGTCAAAACAATGCAATCTGATCAGTAAAATATGGTTGATTAAATAAATATCAAAGACTAATGGGTATAATATTTCATGATATCAACACTGAATTTATGTACATAAAGTTTAATAGCTGTGTATAATTATTCTAAATAAATAACAGGGCTATCAAATTGCATGACTGTACACCACCTCCCAAATATGAACAAACTTATAAAATCTGTTAGATATAAAACTTCGCCACTTGTTGGTACATTGAGTTCACTTTTAGAATTAATTCTAATTCATATGCCTATACAGCTGACCATTGAACAACACGTGTTCACTGCATGGGTACACTGACAGGTGGATTTTCTTCCACTTCTGCCATACCTGAGACCCAAGACTAGGGTCTTTCTTCTCCTTAGCCTACTCAACTTGAAGACAATGAGGATGAAGACCTTTATGATAACCCACAACCACTTAATGAATAGTAAACACATTTTCAATTTTCTTAATAATATTTTATTTTATCCTGCTTACTTTATTGTAAGAATATGGTACGTAATCCACATAAAATACAAAATATGTGTTAATTGACTGTTTGTGTTAGAGGTAAGGCTCATGGTCAACAGTAGACTGTTAGTAGTTAAGTTCTGGGGGAATCAAAACCTACACACAGACTTTTGACTGCACAGGGGTTGCTGCCCTTAACTCTATGTCACTCAAGAGTCAAGTGTTTTTAGAATAAATGTCATCTAGCAATAATATGCTAAAAGATATTAAAAGCTATGAGTTCAATTTGACATCAGAAGTGATACTTGAGAGACTCAAGGGCCAGATGCCAGGCTGCTGGAAGTGACCTAGGTCACAGTGTACATGCCACTGCCTGGCTGTTCAGATTGTTATCAGCACACCTGAGTCAAGGAGTACATGCTTATGATGGACTATTCAGATAGCTCTCAAGATATCTGGGTACTACTTATGAGTATATATTGTTAGTAACTCGTATGCAAAAAAAAGTACTTTCTTTCTGCTATAAACTAATAAGGAAATATTATATATTTTAAAAAATATAAAATAAGGGTATGATTTACCTAAACAACTTTCTGTTTAATCATAACAGAAAATAATAGATAAAATCAAAATTATATTATTTTTAAATGATTATAACTAATACTTTATAATTTCATAAAATAAAAATACAAAAAGCATTCACTTATTTTCTGAAATAAAAAATACAAAACCTGTTTTATTTGCATAATATATTAAACGTGTCATAAATACAATTTTACATACATTTTCTAGTAAAAATCTCAAGCACAGACCTATCTCAATTAGTTACGAAAATACTAATAAAATATAACTGAATATAAACAGAGATTCAGAGTTACAATCTTAAAATATTCCAGTTGTCACTAAAAATCAAATACATTATACTTCAAAAATTTCTTGTGTATCAGGTTTCCAAGACAAAGGTTGTGTCTGCTACTCTTTCAAAATATCTTGACTCCTCATTCTATTATTGTTATTAGGTTATTAGTTTTTTTTAAAACAACTCTAATGTTTTCTTTCTTTCTTTTTTTTTTTTTTTTTTTTTTTTTTGATACCTAGTCTCGCTCTGTCGCCCAGGCTGGAGTGCAGTGGCGCGCTCTCGGCTCTCTGCAAGCTCCACCTCCTGGGTTTACGCCATTCTTCTGCCTCAGCCTCCCGAGTAGCTGGGACTACAGGTGCCTGCCACCATGCCCGGCTAATTTTATTTTTTATTTTTTTATTTTTATTTTTTGGATTTTTAGTAGAGACGGGGTTTCACTGTGTTAGCCAGGATGGTCTTGATCTCCTGACCTCGTGATCCACCCACCTCAGCCTCCCAAAGTGCTGGGATTACAGGCGTTAGCAACCATGCCCAGCCATGTTTTCTTTTGGAATTTTATTATCAAAATTATCATCATAATTTAAATTTAGTCTATATCAAAATTGTTGAAATGTTATCACAAGTCCTGAATAATAATTACTTTGTCTTTCTAATAAAACAACACCAATTGTCATTTCTCCTTTGATCTATGGATTATCTAAGATTGTTCAATTTCCACACACTCAGAAATTAACCAGTTATCTTTCTGTTATGAATTCTCTATTTTAATTTTTATGGTAATTATAGATATTTTGTATGTTCTAAATTATTTTAAATTTATAGAAACGTGTTTTATTAATCAGCATATGTTCTGTCTTAGCATTTCTTGTGTATTTGAAAGATACATGTATCGTGCTTCTGTTGAATGGAATGTTCTAAAAATGTAAATTAAGTTAAATTAGCTGATAATATTTGCTAATGTTCTATATCTAACTTTTTGTTGTTGTTGTTGTTGTTTTGTTTTTTGAGATGGAGTCTTGCTCTATCACCCAGGCTGGAGTGCAGTGGCACGATCTCAGCTCACTGCAACCTCTCATCCCGGATACAAGCAATTCTCCTGGCTCAGACTCCTGAGTAGCTGGGACTACAGGCATGTGCCACCATGCCAGGCTAATTTTTGTATTTTTAGTGGAGATGGATTTTCACCATGTTGGCCAGGCTGGTCTCGAACTCCTGACCTCAAGCGATCTGCCTCCCTTGGCCTCCTAAAGTGCCAGGATTACAGGCATGAGCCACCACGCCAGGCCATCTCACTGTTTTTTTGTTTAATTGCTTTAATAAATTCTAAGAGAAGACTGATGAAATGTTCAACTATAATTGTCCATTTATCTATTTATTGCTCCTCTTAGTTATATCAGATTTTGTTTCACTTATTTCGAGACTGTGACTGGGTGCATATACATTCGAGATTATTATGTCTTTTTGGTGAATTGATCCTGTATTATTATGCAATATTCTTATTTATCTTTGTTATTATTTATTGTTTATATTTTTTGTCAAATATTATATTGCTATTAGGGTTTTATTAGTATCAGTGTTGCATAGAATACATTTTCCCATTTTTTTAAATGTTAGTCTCTATGTATATTTATATTTAAAATGTTCCTCTGCAGACATTATATAATTGAGGCTTGTTTTCTTCTTCACTCTGACAGTTTCGTCTTTTTATTTGGACTATTTGAATCAATCATGTTAACTTTAATTTTTTTGGCTTTCTAATTATTTTTATTTCAACTTTTATTTTAGATACTGGGGAGGGGTACATGTATCAAAAATACATGGTTTTTTACATGGGTATATTTTGTGATAGTGAGGTTTGGAGTACAGATCCCATCACCTAGGTAGTGACATAGTACCCAATAGGTAGTTTTATAACTTACCCCTCTCCCTCCCTCCACTCTCTAGTAGTACACAGTGTCTGTTGTTCCCACATTTATGTCCATGTGAGCTCAATGTTTAACTTCCACTTATAAGTGAGAACATGCAATATTCAATTTTCTATTCCTGCATGAATTTGCTTATGGTTATGGCCTCCAGCTCCATGTTGCTGCAAATTATATGATTTCATTCATTTTTACGGCTGTGTTATATTCCATAGAGTATATGTACCATGTTTTCTTTATCCAATCTACCATTCTCAAAAGAAGGCATATGAGTGGCCAACAAACATATGGAAAAAAATAGTCAGCATCACTAATCATCAGATAAATGCAAATAGAAACCACAATAAGATACCATATCATATAAGTCAGAATGACTATTACTAATAAGTCAAAAAAATCATAGATACTGACAAGGCAGCAGAGAAAAGGGAATACTTATACAATGTTGATGGGAATGTAAATTAGTCTAACGACTGTGTAAAGCAGTCTGGAGATTTCTCAAAGAACCTAAACCAGAGTTGCCATTCAATCTAGCAATCCCATTACTGTGTACATACTCAAAAGAAAATCATTCTACCGAAAATACACATCCATTTGTATGTTCATCGCTGTCCTGTTCATAATAGCAAAGACATAGAATCAACACAAAGGTCCATTAGCTTTAATTTTTGAAGCATTTGTGTTCAAACCCATAATCTTGCTATTCATTTTGATTTGTCTGATTTATTCTCTTAGAATGTTTTCTGACATTCTTGCCTCCTTTTGAATTAACTTGATTTTTAAAAATATTTTAGTATTTCATTATGTGTATGTGATTGATAACTTAGCTGTTTTTCATTGTTTTATCCTTTTTTTCTGTAATTATACTAGACTTTACACATGTATACTTATCACAATCTATCTTCAAGCAATATTATATCCCTTTACATCAAATGTAGATATCTTACAAGTGTACAAATCAAGTTTTTCTTATTTTGTGGATTTGTTTTATTGTCATGAATTTTGTTGATATATTAGTTATAAAATCAAAAATAAATTACCCAAAACACAGGCAACAAAAGCAAATTTAGAGAAATAAGGCTACATCAAACTGTAAAACTCCTGTACATCAAAAGAAGCAATCAACAGAATGAAAAGGCAACATACAGAATGAGATAAAATATTGTAAATCACATGGAAGTTAATATCCAGATATATAAGAAATTCCTGTGACTCAATAATGACAAACAAATAAAAGATGGTCAAATACTCGAATAGACATTTCTCCACAGAAGATTTACAGATGGGCATATGACATGCCTCGTCATATGGTTAGGCTTTTGTCCCCACCCAAATCTCATCTTGAATTGTAATCCCCATAATCCCCACATGTCAAGGGAGAAACCAAGTGGAGGTAACTGAATCATGGAGGCGGTTTCCGCCATGTTGTTCTTGTGATAGTGAGTGAGTTCTCATGAGATATGATGGTTTTATAAGGGGCTCTTCCCCACTTCATTTGGCGCTTCTTCCAGCTGCCTTGTGAAGAAGGTGCCTTGGTTTTTGTTGTTGTTGTTGTTGTTGTTGTTTTGGCCTTCTACCATGATTGTAAGTTTCCTGAGGCCTCCGTGGACATGCTGAACTGTGAGTCAATTAAACCTCTTTCCTTTGTAGATTACACAATCTCAAGCAGTTCTTTATACCAGTATGAAATGGACTAATACAACCTAAAGACATTTTTCCCATTGTCTTGGCTATTAACATTCAGCTCCTTGTCACTTATGCAAATTTCTGCAGCAGGCTTGAATTTATCTCCAGAAAACAGGTTTTTCTTTTCTATCCCATTGTCAGGCTGCACATTTTCCAAGCTTTTAAGCTCTCTTGAATGCTTTGATGCTTAGAAATCTCTTCTGCTAGATACCCTAAACCATCTCTCTCAAGTTCAGAGTTCCACAGATCTCTAGGGTAGGGGCAAAATGTCACCCCGCTCTGTGCTAAAGCATAGCAAGAGTCAACTTTATTCCAGTTCCTAAGAAGTTTTTCATCTCTATCTGAGACCACCTCAACCTGGACTTTGATGTCCATATCATTATCAGCATTTTGGTCAAAATTATTCAGCAACTCTCTAGGAAGTCCCAAACTTTCCCACATCTTCCTGTCTTCTTCTGAGCCCTCCAAACTATTCCAACATCTGCCTGTTACCCAGTTCCAAGGTTGCTGACACATTTCCAGTATCTTTATAGCAGTGCTTCACTACCTTGATATCAATTTACTGGATTAGTCCATTCTCACTCAGCTATAAAGACACTAACCAAGACTGAGTTAATTATCAAGGAAAAAGGTTTAATTGACACACAGTTCCACATGGCTAGGGAGGCCTCAGGAAACTTATGGTAATGGTGGAAGGTAAAGGGAAAGCCAGGACCTTCTTCGTATGGTGGCAGGAGAGAATTGCAAGCAGGGGAAATGCCAGACACTTATAAAACCATCGGAACTTGTGGGATTTCACTCACACTCATGAGAACAGCATGAGGGAACCCACTCCACCACAATCCAATCACCTCCCATTGGGTTCCTCCCTTGATGTGGGGATTATGGAGATTACAAATCAAGATGAGATTTGAGTGGGGACATAGCCAAATCATATCAGCATTCAATTCTTTGCAATTTATGTAGTTTTGTATTGTGGGTCAGCATATTATATATCTTTATGTGTAATTTTTTTTTCTTTTTTGAGATGGAGTCTCTCTCTGTCGCCCAAGCTGGAGTGCAGTGGCGCAATCTCGGCAAGCTCCGCCTTCCAGGTTCACACCATTCTCCTGCCTCAGCCTCCCGAGTAGCTGGGACCACAGGTGCCCACCACCACGCCCAGCTAATTTTTTGTATTTTTAGTAGAGACAGGGTTTTACCGTGGTCTCGATCTCCTGACCTCGTGATCCGCCTGCCTCGGCCTCCCAAAGTGCTGGGATTACAGGCGTGAGCCACCTCGCCCAGCCCTTTCTGTGTAATATTTTAAACTAATATTTTAATAATAAAGTTATGATTCAGGTATAGTCCTTAATCTCTGTTAGCATCTTAATAGCATAATATCATTTTTATGGTATTACCATTTTAAATAATTCTCTTGAAATGCAAAAGGAAGATGACACTGAAATATAAATTCAGATTTGCCTTCAAAATTATTTTAATGAATATAATTGGCTTAAATGATTTGCAAATTAAAATATATTTTTAATTATTATGGATTCATAATATTTGTACATATGTATGCAGTGCATGTGATATTTTGATACAAGCATACTATGTGTAATGATTAAATTAGAGTAATTGGGATATCTATTACCTTGAGCATTTATAATATCTTTACAAAACTTAATATTAACATGCGTACATTTCAAATTCTTCTATAAAATTAAATTTATGGAGCCAGAGTAATTTAGACAATTTTT
The DNA here is from genome assembly GCF_000001405.40 of Homo sapiens. Taxonomy (NCBI): domain Eukaryota; kingdom Metazoa; phylum Chordata; class Mammalia; order Primates; family Hominidae; genus Homo; species Homo sapiens. Next base: position 82,299,951 of record NC_000013.11, on the reverse strand, counting down.
TAATTCAGGTGTTTTTTTTTCAAGTACTTCTATTGTGTACCTGGTTTAAAGAATAACAATAAACTTTAATATTTTTATACATTTAGCCCAAAGACAATTTTTCAGATATAACGGCATTTGTATAACTGGTCTACACTTGTATTATTTTCTCTACTGTAAACCTAACCTTAACATATTACAAAACTATATTTGGAAAACAATACTACTTCATCATAGCTTTTTTTAAAAAATGAATAAAAGTGTGAGATAGTTGAGGGACACTTTTTTGTTTTCTTCTGTACCCCCACCTATAAGAATATTGGTTTTATGAGTGTTAAGCATGAGTTTTGTGTAATTAATGGTATTGTTTACACTTTTTTTATAGAAAAGAGAAAAAATATACAAGTTTGTCAAAAATAGCCATGCTGTCTTGCTATGTAGAAGATAAACAAATACAATGTCTTTCTTTATCTGCAGACATTAATTTACAATATGCAAACTACTCCAAACAATTAGCTAAAAAATTTCTAATTATTACAGGATAATTATTTGTACAATTTCAGTAATTCACAAAATGTATGATATAACAAAACACACATTTTGACTATTCTATATGTAAATTTTTACTGTATCTGCTTATTTAATATCTGGTTTATTTTTGACACAGACATAAAAGCAAGCGTTATTACTGAAGTTATACAAGAGAAGTCTTTGTCTATGTCAAAAATAAACCAGACAGTTTAGGCCAGCCATTTTCTCTTAAAATTTACAACAAATACCTTTAAGAAATTGCCTTTGAACTATTTCTTCACATTTGCATTTATCATCATTTTAAGACAATACTTTACTCCAAAAATTGGTATAATACTAGACATTTTTTATATGATATTCTGATTAAATTTTTGGTGCTGACTATGTGGCCTACTTTAATTCAAACCCTGTAGGTGATGATTATCTGCCTATGAATAGAGTGAGGCCTAGTTTTAGGTATGCCCTGTCTCTATTTGCAACATCAGTAGACACCATAGGAACATTCACAATCAACTTATTACTGTTAGAAAAAGAAGAGGTTGATAAAATATTTACCTTATGTATAAGATTGCCAGATTCTACTAGTACAGCCCTGTGTAAAATTTAGGCATGGCCATCACATAGAATAACCATTAATTTAATCAAAATACTGTTCTAGAAATCAAAACAGCAAAGCGACAATAAAAATGAAAGATCAAGCATGACATTTTGTATTCATTGCTTTATGATGGATTCAGTTCTTAGAGAAAAACCTTTTAATACATTCTATCAAGTGTAATTATCATCGTCTTTGAGAAAGGATATATTAAGTCTCACTTCTTTTTGCTTCCTCATTTTCATTCAAAATTAAGAATCTACCCTGAAAATAAAAATTGTAAATAATTACTCATCACAGGCTAAACACTGTTGTGATTTCAGAATCATAGACAATTCTAAGCAATGATTCTTTATTATAATAATGAACAAACATGAATGGGAAATAATTTGTATTGTCAGTGCAGATATTCTTTTTAGCTCGTCAAGTCCTGTGTATGCTTGTCACAATTATGGCGTTTTGGGTTATAATCCACAAACTAAATTTGCTGAAATTGGCCTTGACAGGCCCAGCTAATTGGCTCCCAAGGAGCCGTTATGTTCTACCTGGCGAACAGTCCGTGAAGTACACAGCTACTCATCCAAACCATGCACAGAGCTAATTATAAAGCAGCAGGAGATATCACACAGTAATAGGCTGTGTACTGTTATTAGTACATAATAATTCCATACCCAAATCATCAATTATAGTACTCTTGCCACCTTGAGGAAAATGCTATTGTGCAGGAATGATTACTTAGGGACCCTATCTGAGTAGAAATTGTGCCATTTTTATTGTTTTGAATGATTAATTCTTCTGACTTCCCTAGGAGATTAGAAACCCTGTCTAGTCACCAAAACCAAACAAAATAAAATGAACAAAAACAAAAAGAAAAATCACTTTGTGCCAAAAGAAAAAAAAATACAAAGATTCTAATGATATTTATTTGACAAACAGTGTTATTGATTAACTTTAACCTTTGCAGTTCATTATTTTCAAACGCTTGAATGGATATTCTGATTTATAATTAATTTCATAAAATACTTAAAATACCATTAATTATAAATTTTTGTAATAGATATTTATATAGTTACTTCCTACTAAAACACACACATATCAAGAATGACATTGCCATTGCTCTTTCAAGATGACCAATTCTATTCATACAGAAGTGTTCTGCTTTAACCTAGTGACTTATTTGAAAGTAAAATAAAACAAACTAGCTCAATTTATTTCATGATAAGTCTGAGAAGTTCCTTTGCTTGCTTAATTAACTTCTTTGGACAATTTATTTTATAATCAGTTTCTCTCTTGTCAGAAACTTGTTTGATCTTGGTTTGGGGTCATTAATTTGGATCTGCTTTTGTCTTTAGATGAAAATATGGAAATTATTATAATCAGGCACCTTTTAAAGTTTTTCTCCTTCCTTCTACTTGTTTTCCTTAAAATGTAATTTTTAATGTGTTTCATTTAATTACAATCCAAACCACAAACATTTCATAGATAAAATTTTAAAAATAAAAACATAGTTTAGATCTTTAATAACGAAGCATTTTTTTCTTTGATTTATACCCATTTTGTTGGTATTACAATCTTTTTTTGATTCAATGTCTGAAACTCAATGAATAGAAATAAAGATAAAGTGAGATTCAATATGCATTAGACAGCTCATCTCACAGATTTTGTTTATAATTAAATAAATGTTCTGTACCAAAATAATGGGATTGAATCAGAACTTTCAATTGTCTGTATCAGAAAGTTCCAAATGAATCTGAAATTGAGGCAGATCAATTATATATATTAGTTGATTTATGAATAATTTTACTTTAAAAATGTGATTTTTGCTAAAAATACCTTACAAAGCTCTTTATTGTTACATCTCTTAAACAATTTGAAGATAGCCTATGTAAAGTGAGCCTATAACATGAAACTTTATTTTCCACCTCGCCAAGTTGAAGGAAATAACACTTAAATTTAATTTTTTAAAAATTGCTTCTGTAGTTGTGTGTTGGATTACTACAACTACCATACCCTAAGCATGTTATTCTTGGTGACTTTTTCATTATTGTGAATTGTCATGATCCAGATAGGCTATATTCAACTTGATACCACATTTTCACAGACCTTAAGCCATAGTCGGTAATTATTCACTACATTAGCTTTGTTGTTGAAAAAATTTCCCTAGAGAATCGGAATATTTATCATTTATTGTTCAATTTTTATTTCTATCACTAATTTGAATGACAGTTCCAATTTACCTAGACCTTCTGTGTCTGCTCAATTGATGTAAGAAGGAATGTGTTTTGCACTTGGAAATAAGTGGATCTTACATATTGAAATCAATAACAAATCCTAGTCTGTCATACAAGCCTTGTTTTAATAGATGACTTTTGTGTGGTCCTGCTGACTGCACCTAATTGCCACATCTTAAAAGCTATGTAATTGCTACTCCACCATGAATGCATTAAAGTGTAAGGGTAAACGGTAAACATAGTTTAGGTAGTGGGCCAGTTACCAGTTAGTGGTTTTATGTATCTATCTTCTGTCTATCTGTCTATCTATCTATCGATCTATCATCTATTTATCTATCTTTCTGTCTATAATCGTCTATCTTATTTGAGTAGAGTTGGGTATGAACCCAAATTGAGTGATTAAAGCTATGTGGAGGAGGAAAGATACAAGGGGACCATGTGTTTTTATTAAAATAAATCTACTTTTTTTTCTTTTACCTCACTTTGACTTGTTTTATTAAATGCTTTAATGAGTATATTATTAAATGGGCTTGATATATTCTATTCTTTACATTGTATAAGAGTTATTACTGTAGCTTTCTCTATTTGGAAAATATAGGAAGAAAACGTATTTGATTTATATATTTATATTAATGTGGTTTACTACCTAATTAATTCTATTTATTGATCACAAAGTTCAGTTGATATTCACAAAAACTGCAAAATAATGAAGATATTTTATTCTTGAGAAAACATAATCATTTATCCATAGCCAGCCTTGTTTGAAGCTTTTTCACTTGTTAATAGTGAAATATGTTTGCGTTTGATTTACACTAAGAAGAGTTTTCACAATGTGTTTTTGTTTTATAGCATTGACTCTTGACTATGTATGAGTTAAGAATTCAGTAGATAGTCATACATTGCTTAATGGCAGGGATACATTAAGAGAAATGCCTTGTTAGGCTATATCATTGTTCAAACATTGTAGAGTTTACTTACACAAACCTAGATGTTATATACTACTACACAGCTATACCATGTGGTATAGCCTATTGCTTTTAGGTTACAAACCTGTAAAGCATGTTACTATACTAAATACTGTAGGCAACTGTAACATGATTGTAAGTATTTGTGTATCTAAATATATCTAAACCTAGAACAGGTACAGTAAAATTACAGCATTATAATCTTGTAGGCCTACAATTCTGTATGTGATCAACCAATACGTTCTTATGTGGTACATGATTGTAGTTATATATTATAAAGACATGTGTGTGTTCATATAGATAGATAGAGAGATGCATTGTATGATGTACAGTTGAAGTTACAGAAGATAATGTCACAGATGCAATATTTTTAAAAATAGTTGCTAATAATTTAGAAAACAGAAAACATAATAGAGTTTCCAGAAGCAATATAAACTACAAAGAATAAATGAAAAAAAAATACCTGGTCACATCATGTTAAAACTGTTAAAAGCCAAAAACAAAGTAGATAAAGAAAAAGAGTTTTAAATGAACAAAAATAAGACTGCTTAATTTTCGTGAAGAATAATGGAAGCTAGAAGACATATTATTATGCATTTGAAAGAAAATGACCATCAACCTAAAATTTGTTAACTTCCGCATATATTCTTCAATAAAGAAAACAAAACAAAGATATTTCCAGGAAAACACTGCAAACATAGTGTCAGAAGACATACCAGAAATGTACTATTGAAAAGCAGTTCTTCAGGTAGAATAACTAATGCCAGATGAAAACACAGAAACATAAGGTGAAGCAAATGGTATAGGAAAAAGTAAAATGTTCAAGTAAATTCAAAATAACACTTATTGTATTATTTGGGGCTCTAAATATATAAGAAAACACACAAATTGTAGTGGAGGAATTGAGACAGAATGGGGATTAGTCTTGGCTTTAACTCACCCCACTAGAGCATTCCTTCATGTGTCCCCACTGATCACAAAACCCACAACACTGCCTCACTGATGCCATACCCACTAATAGTCATTCTATAAAGAAAATAGCCATTCTATATTGCTCTTTTGTGCTCTCATAATGTGTAACCATACCTTTTACTTTAAAAATTCCAGAAATGGCCTTAAGCAATTCAAATACCAAACCAAGATTGTGGGATGTCCCAACCAGGGAAGGAATGCTGAACAATTGATTTACAGCCTTGTTGTCAAGGGCCAGACCACCAGGTGGCCCATTACTCAAGATACCATCACAACCAGATATGTGACCTGAATACCCTATCCCTCACGGACTTGCCCATCCCAGCCTGTATTGCATACCCTACCTCTGATATCAATTCTGATGCTTTGCTTAATAAAATATCCCTGTTTAGTCCGAGCCCGGTGGCTAATACCTGTAATCCAGCACTTTGCGAGGCTGAGGCCGGTGGATCGCTTGAACTCAGGAGTTCAAGACCAGCCTAGGCAACATGGCAAACCCTACCTCTACAAAAAACACAAAAATTAGCAGGGCATGGTGGTGCTTGCCTGTAGTCCTAGCTATTCAGGAGGCTGTAATGGGAGCATCCCTTGAGCCCAGGAGGACGAGGCTGCCGTGAGCCCTGTTCGCGCCACTGCACACACAAAAATACTTCCTACTGGCTTTTTTCGCAGAGCCAGCTGGAAAATTCCTGCACTTCCATTTCCTCCCTTACCATCAAGCACAAGTCCTGAAATACAGCCTTGTCTGGGAAATCAATTTGTCCCCATGTTAATTTCCATTACATGGAGATCCTAAGAGCCTGTGAGCCTGTAACAGATTCTCTGGCCACTGCAGCAAGAACACCAGAGACAATTTCCTTCCCTGAAGGAGAGGCTTATGAGTCAGCAGGGGTCTGGGTGTGATGCCTTTCAGGCTGACACTGAATCTTTGATTCACTATCGCTGGGACAAGTGAGTTTTCTTCCCGCCTTCTGAAGACTCTTTGCCATCTCCCAGACAAAGCTTTGCCTCCCTTCCTGTCCCTTATTTGTTGTGTCTTTCTTTATCCTTCTTCTTTATTCCCTCTTGCCTTCTTCCATTTTCATTAACTTCATTGTCTTTACCTGAATGGGCATCCCGTGGGATGGATTGAAACAGCTGATTGGTTCATCTTGAACAGAATTTGTGTAAAATGGGTGGAAACAGCTAACTCCCAGGACTGATCATCCCATGGTCTCATGGGAAACTCTGTTCATCTCCTTTGTCTTCTAAGTACTTCTCCACTGGCCTTCCCTTCCCCACAAGGGATGAGAAGGGGAAGGGAAGGCTGTGGACTTGTCTGTTGTTTGCCTGTTTCAGCATGTGTACCTATGGACTCTGGGTGCTGTCTGTGTGAGGAGAGAGTTGACAGCACACGGGTGGGACGTTTGCGTTGTTCAGGTCCCAATCAATTTTTTTCTTTTTGTAGGTTTAATTTAACATCTTATTCCCTCATGCAGCCTGTTGGGGGACATCTTTCAAAAATAAGGGGCTTTTGCTTATGGTTCTATGAAATAGAAAAGGATGATTTTCTTTTGTAATGTGGTTTGGCCCCCACAATGATGGCACAGTGAACAGGATCATCAAAACCCACTCTGAGCTGCGCGCAGTGGCTCACGCCCATAATCCCAGCACTTTGAGAAGCTGAGGTGGGCGGATCACCTGAGGTCAGGAGTTCGAGACCAGCCTGGCCAACATGGTGAAACCCCATCTCTACTGAAAATACAAAAATTAGCCAGGCATGGTGGCGGGAGCCTGTAATCCCAGCTACTCGGGAGGCTGAGGCAGGAGAATCACTTGAATCCCAGAGGCAGAGGTTGCAGTGAGCCGAGATCGTGCCATTGCACTCCAGCCAGGGTGACAAGACCAAAATTCCATCTCAAAAACAAACAAAAAAAACCCCCAAATCCCACTCTGCTCTTCTGAAAGCTGCAGAGAAAGAGAACCCCAAAACCTAGCATGTTAGCAAAGAGGTTAAGATTTCTTACCAGTCAGGCTTCTGGCCTCTCAGTCTCTGTGCAAACCAGATGAGTAAACGATAAAAATTACTGTTTGCCTCCTCTGCAAGGTTTCCATTAATGGGAAAAAGGATTTATGAGATTAGCCTTAGGCTGTATTGAATGAGTGTACTTTGTGCTATGAATTTGTCTTTCTGTGTCACTCTGTCATGGAGAGGGGTAAGAGAAAATAGAATATAAGCCTAGGATACCTATAAGCCAACTATTTGAGCCAGCCCAACCCATTAGTTGGGTAAAAACTTTGCTGCAGGTCCCTGAAAGAAAAACTGGATGAAGTTTCCTTCTCGTCTTGTTTTATGTGCTTGAGAACTTGACTTGGTGGCCATGTGGAAGTACTGTCTCTTGGTCTCCACAATCCAGAGCATGGGAATTTTGGGGTTCATGTCAGGCAGTCAGTCTGAAAGGACACATGATAATGTCATGGCTAGCCTTAAAAATTCTCTTAAGCAGTCAAAGTCTATTGGAAGCTCAAAACTGCCTGCTCTAAATTGCTTCTGGAAAATCTAGTGACAACTGCCCTATGCTGTGATTCAGTGGCTAGGGCTTTCCCCTTTCATTACCGAGGTTTGGGTTCAATCCGTGGCTTAAGTGGTGGGTGCTTTCTGGTTTGATATTTGCACGACCTTTGTCATTTATTGATTCTTTTCCTCTCCATGAACTAATTCTGACTTCCTGACTTTAATTTTCCTTCTCTGAGCTACCTTTAGGGAGATTCTAAATCTTGTAAAAACTGTTTGCCACCTCTAAAAATACCTCATGCACCAGTGGTGAAGTCATAACCTTATTTAAGGCTTATTAATTTGACATGGGAGGTTACCTTTGGTTAGAAAAAAAAAATTCAAAATCCAGAAATATCACCTGTTTGCCCTGGTTAAAATCTGGTAATAAAACATTTTAAAGCATTTTTCTTATGAGAGATCTGTGGTTAAAAGTCAACTTAATTAAGGCTGATATTTGGGCTACATGTATACAGATATTGCTTTAAAGCCCCTGTTCTCCTTCTATAAAATCTTCTCAGTCTGGGGAATTCTGCCTAATTTTGTATTTATCCCTATCTGTCACTTTTTCCTCTTATACCTAATCTTTTTGACTTTTAGGGGAGCCAAAAATTACTTTGCATTTTAAAAAAATTATCATAATGTGTAGTAGCTAAAGGAGAGATATACTTTTTTAAATGGCTAATAGCAGTTGCTTAAAGTGAGTGATTATTACTACAGGGTGATACTCCTTTTTTCACATTTAAAGAAGAAAAATACTGCTCTTAAGTTACCTAAAAGATATGAAATGGGCTGATTACAGAAGAAGCTAAGTGGCATGCATTGTCTAGCAGCCTTGGAGAAATGTCCTTACAATAAAATGAACCATGAAAATTCTGCACTGTCCAACAACAGTGTAACATTTGTTGTCTCACAGCATTTCCTTCTTTGAGGGGACCCAGGATTCAGTGTAAAAATGAGATCTTTTATTTTGGGGGTTCTGTCCTGCCTTCTAGCTGTGCCTTCCAATTAGGCCATAGTAACTGCATGCTTTCTTGGCCCTGTTTCTGAAAAGGCTCCACCCTAAAGCCAATAATCAAATTTAAAAATTGACGTCTTTAAAGAAATCTCCACATGTGAGGATGTGTGCTGTTCCTGGCCATCTCACCTGAACTTTTACTCACGTATTTTGGTTTAAGTAAAATATAAATTCTCAATCTTGTTTTACTTGAGTTGTGCCTTCAGAAATGGAAATTTGGAGTTGCCTAGCTAACAATTTTTTAATTCGGGAAAGGGTAATCAAGAGAGTACATAGTCTAAAATTGAAAAAAAAAATCTTAAAAACTGTCAAGGGAATAATCTTATAACTCTACCAAATCTACTTCTGTCTGTTTTCCGAGTATTTATAGGTGTTATGTATGTGATGTTTTACTACCGAAGTATATAAAAGATCTCTAATTAATTAGCTTAAAAAGAAGCAGTTAAATATTCTGTCTGAAAAATAGAAACTTTAACATCTTTTAGTTGACGTAACTTTAGTAATCTCTGGTAAATAAAGACAGTATTAAAGACTGTTGGTAAATTGAAATAAAAATATCATCAAAATTTAGACATTTGGTATAAATTAGGCAGTTCAGACACTGTCTTGCTAAATGCTTTAAGGCTATAAACTGCTTCTGTAACTTTTGATAACTGTTCATCTTACCTGCTCAAGAACCATTAGGTTCTAGTATGGCCTGGGGACATGTGGAATGAGCCATGCCCCCTACGTATGTTGGAAACAGTCAGATATTATCTACAGTTCTGTCCTGTGTCCTAGCCTCTGCACCTGGTACATCATTAAAATTGCTTCTCTCCTAGGTTTTTAACTAAAATAAAAATTATGTGTTTTTGCTAAAATGTTATAAAGAGTCATGAGGAATGAGTTTTTAAAGAGAAAATAATTTTGTCTCATTTGGAGGTTTTCAGGGTGTTTTAAGTTTCTTTTTTAAAAGGATAATAGTGAAGGTTTAAGGAAGCCATAAAAAATTTATAAAAGATTAATCTTGTAAAAGAAGGTCTGTGTTTGAGCAAGTTGGCAAAAATTTGAAGGGGATTATTCAGTTTTTCTATGGGATGAACATTAATATACAAAGCAGACTAATGCTGGCCCAGAATCTGGGCCCCTGTACCTGAAAACAGGGTTCTTGTGAAGCATTAATCTACTTTTTTATGAAAAGTGTAAAGGGTTATGTAGATTATGAAATATTACCTTATGGTTAAACTAATTAAAATTGGATACATTTGTTTATTTTTAACAAGATTTTTGGCTAATATTAAAAATAATGAAAAATTTTTGTTTGTCTTTTAAATAAACTATAAAAAAAAGAAAGGACAGAGAACAGATAGATTCAACTGGCCTCCTGCTGTCTCGATTGGGTCTTGTTGTTTGGAAGCTTGGGTCTCTCCTTTATCAATGAGTAAATGTTTTTCATTTTTAAAATTTTTAGTTACCATTTTGGCCAATTAAATAACTAATAGTAATCTGGAATTTTATTTTGTGATATCAAATGTTTTAAAACTTTTGATGTTTGACAAACTTTCCAGTATGAAATTAAGTATTAGCTCTTCTGAAGTCAAAAAAACGCATATTAGGCTTATTTGGTGAATTAAAACCATACAGAGGCTGGCACCATGGCTCACACCTGTAATCCCAGCACTTTGGGAGGCTGGGGCAGGCGGATCACCCAAGGTCAGGAGTTCAAGACCAGCCTGACCAACATGGAGAAAACCCACCTCTACTAAAAATACAAAATTAGCTGGGTCTGGTGGTGCATGTCTGTAATCCCAGCTACTTGGGAGGCTGAGGCAGGAGAATCACTTGAACCCGGGAGGCAGAGGTTGCGGTGAGCTGAGATAGCGCCATTGCACTCCAGACTGGGCAACAAGACCAAAACTCCATCTCAAAAAAAAGAAATACAGAAAACATTGTAAAATATAAAATGGTGTTTAACTGTCTTTAAATTATAATTATATAAATATGTTACTAATATATATTCCAAAATTATACTAGATTTTTATAATTCTGATAAGTCTCAGTATATATTAATAATAATTATAATTGTTTTGTTAAATTATTGTGTGTCACAGAGATGATCAGATTTTCTCATTGATTGTGTCTTTAACTGAGGCTGTTCTGACTTTTGTCATCCACAGGCAATTGTTGTTTCGTTTTGATCTTTTCAAACGGCAATGTATAATGAGTGTTAGCACTCAAAAACGTACTCTTGAATACAGGTCTCCGATAACTACAGAGATTGTTACATTAGAATAGAAGGAAAAGCTTCCAAGACTGTCTCAGAAAGTTCATGTATTCATAAATATCAAGCAGAGCAGGAGTAAATTGCATGAACTAAACTGAAAGAAGATTGATATGATATTTTTATGACCTTTTTTTCTTAAAACGTTATTGATTCTGTTTCTTTTCAGAATAAATAAAATTTTTGCCTTTTAAATTATTTACAGCTTTTAAAAATGGAGTAAAATACTCCCATAAGCAAAATGTGGAGCATGTTTCCTTCTCTCTACCTGATTTATCCAGAATGTTAAAACTATCTGTGAGTATTCTTAACTTATGGCAATATAGTTGTTTGCATAAATGCAAAAATAATATATTTTATTTTGTAACAGGAGGCAGTTGGAGCTTTTACTAAGGCTTTGACTGAAGTGGCATGCTTTCAGACTGCTTTGAAAAAATTGAGGTTGACTTATAAAGCTGATAAAAGCCTCTTGGAGAAACTGGCCTCATACCTTGTCTACACAGTCCTGTACAAAATTTCTGACCTGTGACAAGTAAAGAATGCCACTTTCTGATAGATCAAGGAGCCCCAGGTTACCTTGGGACCTCATGGGGAGAGAAATTCACCTAATTTATACAGATATTTAGAGACACAGATAAATCTGTGGCTGGGCTCAGGCTTTATAAAGTCTAATATTTATAAAGATTCCTTATGAAACAATGTTCCAGCAAAGGCAATTTAAAAAAAAACAGAGAAAGGCTATATGGAAAATAATTATTGCTGCTGCAATTTATGCAAATAATGAGGCTAAGTGTAATAAGACTATAACTTACTTTCCAAATAAATTGGTTCTACCATGATTTGTCTTTGATAAAAACGAGAGACTGGATAAAGACTGTACTACATCTGTTATTAGAGTCTAGTGTTTCCCGTTGTTTCTTAATGTTTTATATTATTTACTAACTGGATCGTGAAATTTTTCCAGGTTACAAGTATTCTATTTTTCTCACTTAATGAAATTGTTCCTATCATTTTCCTGAGGCTCTGAAAGCTGAACTTATTCTTGATAATAGAGGCGAGAAAAACATGGACATTGTCATCACCCTCCTCTTCTATAACTAAAGATGCTTTCAATCTAACTTCTAAATATATTATGTCCACTTTTAACATTTGTTTTTCATCTGTCCCCATAGAAATGCCTCTTATTAAAACTCTTAGCTTCATATTGCAGGCAACAGGAGTCTGGTTTTCCAGCCTATTCACTTAGCTTCCAAATAGCATCTGATCTGTTCCTTTTTTTTTAATTTTTGAGATGAAGTTTTCGCTCTTGTTGCCCAGGCTGGAGTGCAACGGTGCAATCTTGGCTCACAGCAACCTCCACCTCCCAGGTTCAAGTGATTCCACTGCCTCAGCCTCCCGAGTAGCTAGGATTATAGGCATGCACCACCATAGCCAGCTAATTTTGTTTGTTTAGTAGAAAATGGGTTTCTCCATATTGGTCAGGCTGGTCTTGAACTCCCGACCTCAGGTGATCCACCCACCTTGGCCTCCCAAAATGCTGGGATTATAGGCATGAGCCACCTCTCCCAGCCTGATCGGTTCTAATATGCATTGTTAAACTGAGCTTAAATATTTTATTAACTATTTCTGGGTGTTATTCAATTTTTAAAATAATTATTTTTTATATTCAACAGAGGTACAGATGATTAAAGTTTGTCTTTTAGGCTTCAATACTTTACATCAAGCTGATGGTGATGCAGGGATTCCAACCCCTTCCATCCCAGGAGGAATGAAGTCCCTATAAAACATTAAATCAGTCAACAAGAGATTTTTTTGTGTGACCTCCAAAATTAGGTGGGATGACAATCCTGGCCAGCAGGAAGCAGCTGTGAAAGACAAGACCACTGTCTTTTCTCCTTAAGAATGAGGAATGGCCGGACTCAGCGGCACACACCTGTAATCCCAACACTTTGGGAGACTGGGGCGGGCAGATCACTTGAGGTCAGGAGTTCAAGACCAGACTGGCCAACATGGCAAAACCCCGTCTCTACTAAAAATACAAAAATTAGCCAGACCTGGTGGTGCACGCCAGTAATCGCAGCTACTTGGGAGGATGAGGCACAAGAATCACTTGAACCCAGGAGGCAGAGGTTGCAGTGAGCCAAGATTGCACCACTGCACACCAGCCTGGGTGACAGAACAAGACTCCATTTAACAAAGAAAAAAATAATAAGGAGAATAAAATCTCCCAGGGGTGAATGAGAAGGAGAAAGATTAGGGACAGGGCTTAGCTTCAGTTCACCCCCAGTAGAACATTCTTTCATGCACTCCTATTGATCACAAAGCTCACTGATTCTTTCATGCACTCCTATTGATCACAAAGCTCACTATTGACCACTACCTCACTGATTCCATATCTGCTAATAGTCATGCAAAGAAAGTAGTCATTATGTGTGGTTCTTCTCTGCTCTCATAATGTGTAAATATGGCTTTTACTTAAAGAATTCCAGAAACTGGCTTTAGGCAATTCAAATATCAAATCAAGATTGTGGAATGTTCCAACAAGGGAAGGAATGCTGAGCAATTGATTTATAGCCTTTTTGCCACAGGCCGAACAACTAGGTGGCCCGTTACTAATAAAACTATAGTTACATCACTCAATATAACTATCACAACCAGATATGATGACCTGCATACCCCACGCCTCATGTCTTTTGCCTAACCCAGCCTGCATACCCTACCCCTGATGTTAAATTCCATACTTTCACTAGGGCTGTTTTTGGGGAGCCAGCTGGAAAATTCTTGCACCTCTGGGTTTTTCCTTGTACTCGAGCACGAGCCCCAAAATAGAATCTTGTCTGGGAAATCTACTTGGCCTTGTGTCAATTTCCATTATATAGGGAGCCAAACAGGCTGTGATCCATAACAGAATGTGAGTTAATGTACTTGAAGATTCTTGCATTTCTCTGAACAGCATAAAGTTATTCATTTTTATAAGATTTTAGTAAGTCTAGGATGCACATTTTAATCTCTAGCATAGTCAATGAATTGTAAAGAGAATGTATAACTAACAAAAATAAAATGAAATAATAACAATGTAATAGAAAATAGGAAACAAAAACAACAACTTAAAGTATAGCGAGACAGATCAAAATAAAAGAAAATATTCAAAGGAAGATGCTAGATGTGAATCGCAAATGTCAGTAATTACTTTGAAAAAGATTGGATCTTTTTTTAGTTTACTCAAACTGCTATACCAAAGCATCATAAACTAGGTAGCTTATAAAGCACCAGAATTTTATTATCACATTTCTGTAGGCTGAGAAATCCATGATCCAGGTGCAGGGAGACTCCGTGTCTGGTTGTGGGCCCATTGACTGGTTCATAGGAGTGGGCCTTCTCAATGTTTGTGTCAGGGCACTAATCCTACTCATGAGGGCTCCACCCACATGACCTGATCACCTTCCAAAAGACTTCACCTCTGAATACCATGACCTTACAGGATAGAATTTCAACCCCTAAAGGGTTGATTTTGGAGGGTACAAAAACATTCTGACCACAGCAGGTCACATATTACAGTTTTTAAAAATGTCAGATAAGATAAAAACAAAATTCAACTATATGACGCATAAAAGGAAAACTTTATATAGAAAGACAGAGCAAATAATATAAAAAAGTTATAGAAACACTAACAAAAGAAATCTTACTTAGCTGTTATTAAACATAGTAGATTTTCTGAAAAATGCAATTAGATAAAAGTGGATTATTTCAAAATAATAAAATGGTCATTTTAGAAATATATGTACATGATAGTATGACTACAACATATATAAAGGAAACACTGAGAGAATTAGAAGACATAACACAAACCTACAATCAGATCAATAGTTTTTATAATTTCAATATAATTATCAATACATCCAATAAATACAAATTTGGCAAAGAAATTAGACAATAAAAATGTCAATAATCAGAGTTGTAATATTTTAAGGGAAACTGAAAAAAAATTTGCAAATAAGCAAAACCAAGCACAAGTTACCAATATTAAGATTGTAAAAGAGAGCATCATATTCAGCATCTTAGGCACTAAAAAATAAAATTGAATCTGTACATCTCACTTAAAAAAACTCAAATTCTTAACTTTTTAATCAAACAAAAGTTTTATGCATATAACAATACTAAATATTTTTAAAAGATCATCATTCCCTTTTTGCTAAAACCAGTCAGGGACATACAGAGGAATATCACTGGCTATTACTTCTGATAAGCATAGGTGCAAAAACAGTAAAGAAATCTCAGTATTCTGAATCTAGACAATGGATAAAAATGGTAATGTAATACTCACTTTATGGTTGATTGTAAGAATAAAAGTTGATTTAGGATCTAAAAATTCAACAATTTCATATAATTTGCACTGTTAACAGGGTAAAAGAGACATAGTATATAATATTGAAAATAATTTGATAAAATATGCTATTATTTCATGGGAAAATTTTTTTCACAAAAAAGGAATAGAAGAAAACACTCAATGTACTAAAGAGTATGAAACGATTATTTTACAGCAAATACCACCCTTTCCAGTGAAATAAAAACACTTTCCCTTTTAGCGCAGAAATGGGGAGTAATGCCTACTCCTATTTAACACTTTATTATAAACAGAAATGTCGGCTGGGCACGGTGGCTCACGCCTGTAATCCCAGCACTTGGGGAGGCCGAGGCGGGCAGATCACGAGGTCAGGAGATAGAGACCATCCTGGCTAATACAGTGAAACCCCATCTCTACAAAAAAAATACAAAAAATTAGACAGGTGTGGTGGCATGTGCCTGTAGTTCCAGCTACTCAGGAGGCTGAGGCAGGAGAATCACTTGAACCCGGGAGGTGGAGGTTGCAGCAAGCCGAGATCACACCACTGCACTCCAGCCTGGGCAACACAGTGAGACTCCGTCTCAAAACAAACAAACAAACAAATAAACAAAATAGAAATGTCTCCTCAGTAATGCACTACTGAGAAATTGATATGTCACTTAGGACTCTTTACTTGTTTGCAAACCTAATTAACCAGGAATCAGAATAACTGTCTCACTATCCCTGTTGGAGCAGAAAAGATCTAATTTTAGTTTTCTTGTGCCTTTTCAGGAGTATGATGCTGGAATTGATGAAGCTGAACTAGAAGGAGTAAATATCTTCACTTTAACAAAATAAAATAGCTTCTACTTTCTTTATGATTATTATATCAAAATATAAGCATTATTTTAACTTAATTCAGTAATCGTTATATTTCAAAAATAAATCTATTTAATAATATAATTATTCATCATTATAACAAATGTTTAAATTATATGTATAGATTTGAGGCTGTTAAGGTCATGATGACAATTTTATCCTATACATTTTATAGCAAATAAATATCCATATATGCAGCAAAACAATATTAAATCTATCAAAGCATGTGGTTCCTTTATAGAATCATAAACATCAAGTTTTATTCTAATTTAGTTGAGGCTAGTTTATGAGGCAAATAAATACTTGAATTTTTTAAATTTAAATTTTGCTAATTTATTATAATTTATCAGTTATAGTATTTTGCTGAAAAATTATAATTGTACATACTTATGAAGTACAATGTGCTGTTTTAAGCATGCATTAATGTTGCTTTTAAATTTCACCTATTAAACAGTTTTTGAAATAGAGTAAAATTGGAATAAGCAAAACATGTTTTCTGATTTTGTTCATATCTCTAAAGACCCTTTTTACACAAAATTATAACTGAAAATATGTTCTTATTTCATGTTATCGTCATCAATTGCCTAGATTAGGAGAAAAAAATTTACATCAAAAGAATTTAACTCCCAAATAACAGAGAATGAGCAAAACTCTGTTTTGTACCAGGGTGTTTAATAAAAAATTTCTACTTCAATGAACCCATATTCAAAGTTTATAAATATCTATACCATTAAATTTGAACCTTTTTCTGATTAGAACAATAAACATATAAATGAACTTATAGAACTAATAAAGAAGATATTTGATATGGCTTGGATCTGCATGCCCACCAAATCCCATGTCAAATTGTATCCCCCGTTTTGGAGGTGGGGTCTGGTCGGAGGTGATTGGATTGCTGGGGAGGAGTTACCCCTTGGCACTGTTCTGAGTTCTTGTGAGATCTGGTTGTTCAAAAGTGTGTGGCACCTTCCCCTACTCTTTCTTCCTCCTGCTCTGGCCATGTGAGGTATTCTGTCCCTCTTTGCCTTTCATCATGGTTGTAGGTTTCTTGAAGCCTCCCCAGAAGCTGAGTTGATGCTGGCTTGCTTAATATGCAGCCTGCCAAACTGTGAGCCAATTAAACCAGTTTTCTTTATAAATTATGCAGTCTCAGGTATTTATAGCAATATGAGACTGTACTAAGAAAATTGGTACTGAGCAGAGCGGCATTGCTTTAAAGATACCTGAAAATGCGGAAGCAGCTTTGGAACTGGGTGATAGGCAGAGGTTGGAAGAGTGTGGAGGGCTCAGAAGAAGACAGGAAGATGAGGGAAAATTTGGAACTTCCTAGAGATTTGTTAAATTGTTGTGACCAAAATGCTGACAGTGATATAGACAATGAAGTCCAGCCTGAGGTGGTCTCAGATGGAGATGAGGAACTTAATGGGAACTGGATAAAAGGTCATTTTTGATATCCATTAGCAAAGAAGTTGGAGGCATTGTGCCCCTTCCCTAGGGATCTGTGGAACTGTGAACATGACAGTGACAATTTAGGGTATCTGGTGTAAGAAATTTATAAGCAGCAAAGCATTCAAGATGTAGCCTGGCTGTTTTTAACAACCTCTGCTTATATGCACGAGCAAAGAAATGACCTGAAACTGGAGCTTATGTAAAACAGGGAAGCAGAGCATAAAAGTTTGGAAAATTTGTAGCCAGGCCATCTCTAGAAAAGAAAACCAATTTTCAGGGGAGGAATTCAAGCAGGTTGCATAGATTTGCATAACTAAAAGGAAGGCAAATACTATTAGCCAAGAGAGTAGGAAAAAGGCCTTGAAAGCATTTCAGAGACCTTCTCATCACAGTTCCTCCCATCACAGGCCTAGGAGAGAAGAATGGTTTTGTGGAACAGTCCCAGGGCTCTGCTAATCAGTGTAGCCTTAGGACACTGCTTCCTACATCCCAGCCACTCCAGCTCCAGCCATGATTCAAAGGGGCCCAGCTACAGCTCAGTCCACTGCTTCAGAGAGTGCAAGCCATAAGCCTTGGTGGCTTTTACATGGCGTCAAACCTGTAGGTGCACAGAGTGGAAGAATTGAAGCTTGGCAGTTTTTGCCTAGATTTCAGAGAACGGATGGAAAAGCCTGGATACTCAACCAGAAGTCTGCTGCAGGGGCAGAGCCCTCATGGAGAACCTCTACCAAGGCAGTGTGGAGGGAAATGTGGGGTTGGAGCACCCACACAGAGACCCCACCTAAGCACTGAAAAGTAGCATATGACACCAGGCTAAATTCCTGGAGATTCCCTTGGGAATCTTGACTCCTCATGCCCTGGTTTTCCTCTTAGCCTTATATTCCATCTTTTTACTTCCAAGCCCTGAAAAATGGAACCAAACTTACTCATTATCTCTCTTAACAATTGACTTTTTAAATGGCTTCTCAGCTTCTCTAACCGCATCAAACATTAATGAGAAAATGCCTCAGGAAGACATGAATGACATAAAAGTTTTGGCTTGCTTGTTGACTTTCTTTTCCCTCTAGGATATTGGCTCTCCAAGGTCCATCTGGCTTAGCAGATCTGCAGTGCCTACAGATACTTTATTTTGTAATTTGTTCAGCTCTTCTAGATGTTTCAGCAGGAACATTGGTGTGCTAGTATACTATAGCTGGAAGTAAAATTCAAAGTAACTTTAAAAATTTCTATAATATCAGAGATATTCATCAGCCTGAGTAATATAGTTGCCCAATAATGTATATATTCTTCTTTTCTGAGACTTAAGAGAAAAACACATGAAATATTAAATGTATTATGATGATTACATTATAAAAGTCTCAAAGTAGTTTGTAGTAGTTTATTTGATTGCTGTAACAAAGTTTTGCTAATTAAGTAGCATAAATCAATTTAAATTTATTATCTTATGTTCTATAGGTCAAAAGTCTGATATGGGTCTCAAAGGGTTAAAATCTTTGTGACAGCAGTTACCTTTATTTCCAGAAACTCAAGGGTAAATTTATTCCCTTACTAGTTTCTAGAAGATACCTGCATTCCTTGGATCCTGGCCAGCTTTCTCCATCTCCAAAGCTAGCAACACTAGGTCGAGTTCTTATACGGCCATCTCTCTGGATCTTTCCAGCAGCAAGAGGCTTTCTACTTTTTAGAACTCATGAAATTAAATTGAGTCTATTCAGATAATTCAGTATAATCTTTTCATCTCAAAATTCTTAACCTTTATTCCTTCTGCAAAAACTCCTTTTCCATGGAGGCACAGGTGCTGGAGATTAGGACTTGGCATCTTTAAGGACTAATCTGCCTACCCTGTAGTTAAATAAGTAGAGAATTTTTCCTGCACTAATAATAGAAGCAAAGACAAGAACCTTCCAATGGGACTGAATTCAAGTGATGACATGTGACTGGCATTTTTCTTTTCTATTGTGGTTTTGAAAACACTCTGAGACCTAACTAAATCATTTATTTATTACCATAGAACTTTTAATAGCCACCTACTGCACACTGTCACTCTTCAAAAGTTAAAACTAATAACTCAAGGAGAAAAATAAACAAATATTAGAGTGTCCTGTCCTTGCATCAATAAGTTGCCACCATGCAATATGATATATCACAGCAGTGGAAGCATTTTCTATAACTCCAGATATTCAGGGATTATGAAAGGTTTGCTTACCACTGTACAATCTGCACAGATTGCAGTTGCTGAGAACTTACTTTTCAAAAAAAATTTCTAAAAGAATAAATAATTAATTAAATTTTTCTGTTAATATTACTTTCATATTGAAGTGGGAGCATCATGTTTTCCCATTGTTTCTATATAGAAAATTGGACTAATGGTTTAACTTAAAGTAAAATAGCACATTTTTAGTTAATATTTATGCCACCATGCAATTTGATATAGCATACCAGTGGAAGCATTTTCTACAACTCCAGATATTCAGGGATTATGAATGTAATCCCAGCACTTCTGGAGGCCAAGACGGGAGGATCACTTGAGGTCAGGAGTTTCAGATCAGCCTGGCCAACATGGTGAAAGCATTTAACATTTTATTTCAATTGTAATTGTTATTTTGTATTAACCTGCTATATAATCATAGTTAAGTCAATCAAAGAGAGCTAAACAATTTCTTTTAAGAAAGTGAAATCACATGCTCTTCCATCATCATTTTCACACTTTTTAGCTGTTTCTGTTCCCAGCCAAACTCTTAAAAAAATATGAGTGGTGAAAAATATTTAAACAAGTAAAGTCTCAAAAAACATATTCCCAGTGCATCTTATTTGAGGAAGAAAATTGAAGATGTAACAAAATTAAAAAGCAGAAAAGAGGCAGACCTGGGATCTATGGATCAAGTATACAACATGAAATGTAAAAAGAAAAAAGATATCCTGGGTAAAACACTATTAGTAAACTGATTTCTGTTGACTCTTAAATTTTGGAAATTATCAATTAACTTTATATTATGGTAAATACAAATTTTTAATAAACTATCATTTTAAATTGTCTGAATTTTGACTCATCATTATTGTTTTCTACATTTCATTGGCTATTGAGAACTTTAATGCTATTTTATTCCTGCTAATTTTATGTTAGTTGTATTTTCCAGTGGATACTCTTTATTAAGAAGGTGCTTTGGCATTAAATGAAGATATTTATCTCACTGTGGTTGTGTTTTTAATTAATTGTGCTACACATCCAGAGGGCAATTTTTTATGGAACAAAGTGCCAGAAACTGCCGTTTACACTTTTGTTTATTGAATAATTTGTCTTCTGTAATTTTTCTTCATTTATCATTCTGAAACTTTTATTAGGTTAAAGGTTGATCGTATGAATTAACCATTTAATTTTATACAAGTTTGTCCTTATTTTCCATATTTGTTCATTTTTGTTCTACAGTCTTGGAATATTTTAAAAATTTACCTACCGAACCAGCAATATTATTTATTTGTTTATAGAAGGTATTCCTTATATTCTGATTTTTGTTTTTTGAAGGAAGTCTCTCGATCTTGTTTCATGAGTACAATTTATTCTATTATCTTTCTGAATATAGTTACTTTGAATTGCTCTTTAGCTTCTTCACTTCTGTTCCCAATAAATTACCTTTTAAAATTTGTGTGTGTTTGTTAGTTTCCAGTGTCATTCTTTCATATTGGGAGATTCCCTCAAAATTTGGGTGATGTTTTGTTATCCTTTTGTATTTAATAGTCCCTAAAACTTTTACTGGAAATTGTCTAAGCATGTATGATACTTTCAAAGAATAAAATATACTGAAGGGAGAGACATTAGGTTTCTCAGAGAATCTGCCTATACCATTATTTTTAGGCAGTTTCTCCATATGATACAGTTTCTCTTAAGTAAAATCTCAGCGAAATTCTTACCTGGAAAATTTTGTCTGTCAGTTCTATGGTGCTGGAAAGGTGAAGAGAGTTTGGGAGTCTTTACATTCAGTAATGCCTGATACCAGTATTCATTCAAACGTGCATGATGTTGCTAAATCTAGAGTCTGGAGTTTAATGTCTACAGATAATAGACTTTCTGAAAATCTGTGCTCCTGGAAGGAGCAGATTGGCTGCTGGGATGAGGAACGCCACATAAAATTACCCTTTTAAACAGAGTTTTAACCTAGTCCCCCTATTTTAATTTTCTTGTTTCATCAAACCTACTAGATTACACAATGGTAACAAGTGCCAATCTGTTCTATGATACTACTATTGGATTTTCTCAGTTATCATTCTTTTCTGCTTATTTAGGATCCTCAATTTTTTGGCTCAGTTTTTGTTAGAAAACAAGTGATTAAAAATACACTTAAACCTTATACATTGTCATTTTTTGGTGACAAGTTTTATCTGAAGATAAGAGGTTTTGTTTGTGATTTTCCTTACAATTCTGGTTGATTTTAAGAATAATAAAGGGGCAGGGAATTCTTTATTTCATCATGTTGAAACCACATTTTCCAAAATTACTTCCAAGAGCAAATATACGATGATCTTGACAGGTAGATTATTTAGAAACAATGTTACATTTAACCAATTTTGAAGTTAAATATTTATTTCTTATTTCTGTTTCCTATTTAGTTTTGTATTTATTATCTAGTGGAAAATTTCTCATGGTGAGTTAAAAATTTATTTCAGTGTGTGTTGGAAGAGGTTACAGCAACAAATTTTCAGTCTTATTTACTTGCCTAGAATTTAATTTGGTTTAAAACTGTGAAATGTATTTAAATTTTAATAAATTTATTTCAATAAATTTCCATCATATTCTCCATTTTCAGTAGTATAAAAATTTACAATCTTATCCTCTTCTGCTGTTGGTTCTTCATTTGCATTAGCAGAGCTTTTCAATAGTTTAAGAGCCCAAATAAACAATTATTAGTGATAAAAAGCAGTTTTCTAACCTCCTGTACTGTTCCATGTAAGAGGCCACTCACGTTATTGTATACTACAAAAAGTTAACCCAAAATATTTTAGTTATTACATAAAGGAGATATGTATACTAGAAATACAGGAAAACATCCAGTTAGATATCCGATTGTTACTATTATTGCTTTCATTAATTTGCGCATATGTGTATCCTTTTATTTTTAGTTGACTCATGATAGTTGTACATATTTATAGAATGCAGAATGATATTCCAACACATGCATACAATGCATAATAATAAAATCATTGATAAATTGATATTTATTCATAAATTTAAAAAATTGATAAAATCATTGTTTGGTAGACAATTCTGTAGAAAAAGTTCAATTGGTCAAGTGTCAATTTTACGTCCAGAATTTCTTTATTAGATTTCTGCCTTGATGATCTAACACTGTCAGTAGGGTGTTGAAATACTCCACTACTGTGGTGTGGCTAAGTCTTTTAGGCCTAGAAGTACTTGTTTTATGAATCTGGGTGTCCAATGTTGAGTGCACATGCCTCTTATGAATTTCACTGCATATACAGCAGTGTTCTGGGGAGGGGAGGCAGAGGGTGAAAGTAGTTTCTCCCAGGTCTATTCTTGATGGTATCTCCTTCAACTACTGACACCACACCCATGTTTTCTTTGTCCCAAGGGGAGGATTCAAACACTGCACTTCCCGTTTCCTTAAGGGCAGTCCAAGCCAAGGGTTAGGTCACTTGGAGACCCCTAACTCCCTGTGTATCCACAAGTTTTCTGTGCTTGAGGGAGTCAGAGTGGGTTGTGGAGTGTGTCTGCTAGTGGGTGGTGCAGTGGGTCAAGTGCCGTGGATCCCCAGGCAACTGGGATGGTGCCTTTGGCCTGGAGTTTTTGGCTTCTCAGATTGCTGCGAGGCATACCCAGCTCGTGCTCCTCCCACCCAGTGGGCCTTTCTCCAACATCTATCACAAGAGGAAGCTCGACTTTCTGGGTTTGTCCCAAAATGTCTGAAGCAGATTGTTGAGCCATTCTCGATATTCCAAGCCATGGGTTTCCCTGGGAAAGAAGTTGTGGCTGGCTACCAGGCTACCCTTTTCCCA
Organism: Homo sapiens; assembly: GCF_000001405.40. Classification (NCBI taxonomy): domain Eukaryota; kingdom Metazoa; phylum Chordata; class Mammalia; order Primates; family Hominidae; genus Homo; species Homo sapiens. The sequence continues at coordinate 82,276,206 of NC_000013.11, read as the reverse complement.
GATCAGTCTTGCATAGTGAGGGATGACCAGCTCCCGCACCAGTACACGAACCTACAGCACACTCTTCTCTGTTTTCTAAGAGTGGAGACTCCTCCCCTGCCCGAGCTCAGGGCACAGAACTAAGTTCAATACTCTTGGGAGGTGTGCTTGAATCCTGGGGAGTTGGGAATGGGACTGAAGATTTGTCCTCTGGCCTGTTAGGTCAAGCACTGGCTGTGCCGTTGGCGCCATACTGCTCTCAGGCCACCAGCAAAACACTCAGGAAGGAAGTGTAGGCCATGCTGCAGGCACTCTCCCATGGAAGAAATCAGGCAAGTAGTCTTGGGAGGGGCTGGTAGGTGAGGAGACACATGGGTTGAATGTGCTGTTGCCCGTGGGAATAACAGCCCTGCTCTCTCTCAGTCCGCCACACAGCAGGAGGTGCAGCCACTGAGTATAGATAAGATGGAGAGCCTTGGTGTATGGATGCTTATGTCACAGTTTGCTGCAACTGTACTGTGCGGTGAAACCTTCTGGGTTCTGTGCGAGTTTGAGCCATGCCTCTGCCTGATCTCCAGTTGGCTCTCTCTGACAATTCAAATGTCTATGGGGGTTGTGGAAACTCCTGCAGCTAGGATTCCAGAGGTCTGCAGCAGGACTATGGTGTCCTGGAGTTCCTTTACTCACCCCTTCCTGAAGTCTGTTTAAGGCTGGGGCCTGTCCTGACACCCAGCATTTCTAAGCATGCTTCCCAGCTTTCTTCTTCTTCAACCATGGTGTTTACATCATCTCTATATCAACTTTCAGTGTTTTCTCTCAAAAGATCTGTTCCAAGTGATGGTTTACTGCATATTTTGGTTTATCTCCTGTTTTCATGAATTTTGACATTAGTATTCTTTAAAAGTTAACATGTATTAAAGTTGATATTCATTCAATCTTTCACTGGGGAAATTTAAATTCTAGCTATTAAATTCTAAATTCTTAATTAAAAGGGTGATTTTTTTTTCTGGGAATATAAATATGTAAAATTGTATATTAAATAAGTATTTTTATACTCTGGACACTAACCTTTTTAAAAAAATAGTGATTTATTAATTATACTCTAATAATTGAAATAAACTTTCCTGTTATATTTTGACATATATATGTAGTTTAAAAAATTAAACAATTAACCAATCTATAATTGACCAATTCAATTAACTGAGCTCTATTTCAAAGCTGGCCATATTTTAACAGTATAAATTTAGATATTTAGTGCTGTTGTTTGGATGTGGTTTGTCCCTGCCAAAATTCATGTTGAAATTGAATCGCCAATATAAAGATGTTGGGAGGTGATGCTTGTAAGAGGGTATTAGTTTATTAAACTAGAACAATATATTTACGGAGTTACTGGGTTAGTTCTCCAGGGAATGAACTAGATCTTACAGGACTGAATTAGTTATTGTGAAAGCAGATTTTATAAATTGAGGTTGCTTCTTGTTTTTGGTCCCTTTTGATACACTTGCTTTCTTCTCCTCTTCTCTACCATGTTATGACATGGGCCTCACCAGAAGCCATCAAGATGCTGATGCCACCCTTCTTGAACTTCCCAGCCCCCAGAATGATGAGCCAAATAAATCTATCATCTTTATAAAGTACCCAGTCTCAGGTATTCTGTTATGGCAATGCAGAACAGACTAAGACACCTAGGAAACATCAGCACCTAAATATCTTTTATTAACCACTCTGGGATAATCAGAGAAAACTGCAGAGACCACATATAGAAATTCTACAGTTAACTAAGTAGTTCTCATTTGATATAATAAACAATGAATATCATTTATGTATTTAATATGTATACTTTAATAGATAATATATGCACAATAAATACGTATATTTAGTATGTGTTTTACATTTCCTTTGATAGACATGATATTCATATGCATATAAATAATAATAAGATAATATACCAATAACATTCACATTTTCCTTATGATGGGAAAAGTGATGTTCTAAGCATTTCTATTAATATAGAATAATATAGTTAGTACATCCTCTAATTCTCATATCAATCCCCTGAGGTAGCATTTCATTATCATACATCTATATATGAAGGAACTCAGTAGAAGAGAATTTTGAGAACTGCCCCCAAATGACAAAGCCAGAACTCATCCCTTCGCAGTGCAGTTCCAGAGTGGTACTTTTGGTTATTATACAGTATTGTGCCTCATATACTTAGGATTGTGTCTGTTTAGAAAAAAATGAGAAAAAGCCAAAGTAGTTATTTTTTATAACTCCATCTGTGTATAATTTTGTGTTGCTATAATTGCCCACCTCTGAATTGATCTTAGAATTGCTTAAAGATATCTCAACACAGAGGTTAGTCACTCATGCATTAATTTTTTTTCTTCTTTTTTTCTTTGTTAAACTCTTCATCCGTTTCAGGTTAATTTTTCCAAAATTGAATTATCAAAAACATTTTATGTTTGCATTCTATTTTTGATATTGCTTCTTCCTGAATAGTTTGGGTACCAAAAAACACTTATTGTTAAAAGCTTGGTAAGTCTCAATTTTCTGGAATAGCTTTTTCGAACTTGGGCATAGATACCCTTGTAAGTACATCAAGAGTTTACCAAGTGTGTTGGATAATAAGAGGGAATATATTTTCAGAACCTCATAGTTTTCCTAAAACTGAAGTGCCTAAAATGCGTTTCTAATGGAGGCAACATGCTGGGACTGTTTTTACAAGTCCTCTTTCACAGTCATTTTACTGTCACTTTATAATTGAAGTGTTTATCTTTGGCCGATCACAAATTTCAGTCTTTTGCATTCCTCTTTGAATATATACATCTCTAGCATTAAAACAGATTGTTATGTAGTATCTAAAATACGCTAACAGTTACATTCTTTGTAAATATTTATGCTATGCAAATTTTTTGATACCATGGTTTTAAAAAATATTTTTAGGAATAGTTGAGCAAAATATTGGAAGGCCATAGTTCTAAGTTATTACATAAGATCAAAGTTATTATAGCTGCCTAAGTGCCATACCAGATTATTTAACAGAGTTTCAGGGAAACTTTTTCTAAGTTCTGTAATAATAGAGCGTGTATTTATTTTAATCCACAAATAGTGCTTATTAACAAACATTTGGTAATACAAATAGCAGCTAAGTAACATTTGCATTATCTTTAGGCTAATGAATACTTCTCTTTAGATAACAATGTATTATATTTTCCACTGTAATAAATATTGCCATTATAGTGGATCATGTTGTTAAAGTCAAAAACCCAAGGTAGAAATCTTGGTTTCATCACTTTTGTGAAGATTTGCAGGTAAATTAGTATCTCAATGTGATAATTTTTATCTGTAAGAGAAGGCGGTTATTATATTTCTCTCCTGTGTTTATTGTGAAGCATCTAAGATATATCAAAGTATGTTCATGTAATAAACTGACAATCATAGAGTAATACCATAGACTGAACTGGATACACATAGACCAAATTTGAATCTTATATCTGGAAATTATCAAATGACTTTTTAAGGCAAGGTTTTATTTTTCATGTATATCAAGAGAATAATTATCTCAATTTTTCCCCTAGCAGAACTATTGAAGAAGATTAAATGAGGTAATTTATTTAGTGGTTTCAGCATATGTGTACACATGCATGCACACACACACACAAACAATAAAAACCAAGCAAAACAACAACAACAACAAAATATTCATCAAACAAATATCTATGGGACACTTAATTCAGTCACTATCTAACCCCTTGATATATGTCATTGGGCAAAACAAAGATCCCTGGCCTCATCATATTTAAAGTCTAATAAGTTTACATATAATACACAATATCCATCACATTTGAACAAAGTGCAGATGAAGGTGCTGATACTGGCTTGAACCAAAGTGAGGAGGACGTAAGCAGTTAAGGCAGTAATAAGCATTCAGGGTCTTGGTATATTTATTTAAAAGGTAAACCTACAAGATTTGCCTGTGTGGCCTAAGAAACCGGCCCTTGACTGATAGCAGAAAGCTTGCAAGAGGACCATGTCGGATGGGTCAGGAATGAGGATTCAAGTTCAGTTTTGACATGATAAGTTTGGATGCCAATTAAAAAGTTCAAGTGAAGATGTGGGAGCAGTTGGAAACACAAGGCTGAAATTCAGTCTAGTGGATAAACATAGAAATTCACATTTGGGAGTCATCAGCATCTCGATTATATTTATAGTTTCAAGAGATAAAAGATGTGAGTTCTGAGAAATACATTCTAAACCTTTCCAACGTGAAGCCTTCGGGGAGTGAGGAGTAGATGTGAAAGGAAGTGTCAAGGTGATAAGAAGAAATCCATTATATTGCCAAGCCTAGGAAGATAAGTACAGAAAGTGAGTGAACAAAAGTATCAAGTCCTCCAGAGACAGCAGAGAATATGAAAAACAAGAATTGGCCATATCTTATTTAGCTTCATGTGGCACAAATGATCTCGATGTAAGGACATCATGGAGTAATGGAGCAAAAGCCTGATGTAATATATTTTAGAAAGAAAAGGGTAAGAAGATTTTGAGAGAGTAAATATATAAAGACTTTTTGAAGGAGTTCTGCAACTAAAGAGAAACAGAAGCTTCAGTGAAGTAGGAAGCAAAATCAGTAGTGTAAACAAGGTGGTGGTAGGAGACTTTGAAGATCTGAGAAGAGTTGAACTTGCAGTCTCAGAGAATGGAAATCTAAATAATTTAGGAAATAAAAGATGATTATTCTTTTATGTGCAGGGTGTAAAATGTCTATCTGGGGTGGATGGAGTAAGTGAATCAGTGAAGACAAATTTAGGGTTTTTACTAATAAAGGGAATGGAAATAGCATTAGAAAGCTTCAAGTTAAAAGCAAATGGCTCATGATGGTATGTGACATTAAACGTAATGATAATAACGTGACTAGATTAGATTATTCTTATGGAAGTAGTTTCTAGACTTTACTGTGTAAAATTAAGATAGTAGTTTTACTAATTAGATCTATTGCTATTAATGATCACGATTTCAAATAAAAACTACAAAACATTATACTATAAAAATTAAACTAAAAAATTATAAGATTTCCTAAATAATTTTATAATAATAGACCAAAGAACACACAAAACAACCCTTTTCCTGAAAATAAAATAAAATCTGTGATAATGCATGAGATGGATGACTAAATATCAAATTATATTGAATACTTTTGAGCAATTGTTGGTGAGTAAGCAATGATATAATAAGACAGAATTTTTTTTTCAAAAAGTAGGCAATTTGAAAAGCCTTATGTTGTCCAATTCAAAAAAAAAAATAGAAATGAAGTACTACTCTTAACTGGATGATAATATTAAAAGTGATTTTCTGTTCAAACAAAAATGTGGACATAGCTATTGGGTAGGAAAGTGCTAAGAATACAAACAAGCTAAATTCCTAATCTTTTATAGCAGGAAGCTGAATAATAATGTCTAATATGCACATTGTAAATAAAGATATAACAGTGTTGGAAAACAGTAAAACAGTGAAAAGTACTGCCTCTAGAAAGCGGGATGGTGTTTGGAGAAAAAACATCAAGGAGCTTCTGCTATTTTTTTCAATTAATTTACAGCACTATATAACTTTAAAACTGCATATATTTATTACTCATATAAAAAGGAAAAACAACTTAAATAATAAAAGGAGAAAAAAACCCTTCAAAATATCAAATACAGTCTAAGGGTAGAACAGATAAAGTGAAGTCAAAGTGTAGAACAGATAAAGTGTTTATAAGGTTTTATAACACAAATGTTATAAAATAACACCCATGCCTATACAAGAAAGAATTTTTATGGGACATCAAATGTTTCACAGTTCACACAAAAAAGAAGAGTGAGTTGGGTAAAATAAATGATCACAAAATTTGTCTTCTTGGTTTTTAAAGACTGATGGATACAATGCCTTCTTATCAGAGATGTAAAAATATGTGTTTTAATTTGTCATCTTTTGAAAATTATTTTTATAAGCATGATTTGATACATTTTAGAAATAATATTGCATCCAATTTAAATTGTGATGAAAAGGAATAGATGTGTTTTACTTCCTCTCCCCTAAGCAATTGAGGGAGATTATGACTACTTTTTTGGAAGTGATTAAGAAAAGCATAATGAGTCACAAATTCTGGAAGTTGAACAGAGCTGAAATGGTAAATTATTTCAGAGCAGATGTTAAAGGATGAAACTGACAGTTGAGAGAAAAGAGTGTGTATTAGAGAACTAGAATAATCTTTTTAGAGCCCTTTCTTATAGCCCACTTTTGACAGACACAACTTCCCAAATCAATGATTGTACGAAAACACTTGCTTTGAAGAGAGATATTTTAACATTCCTAAGTACTGTAATTCTAACTATTAAAAACATTTCTACAGGCAAGTATTCTGTAATAATAATGACAGGATATATCATCAACAATTACTAGTAATACTTATAGATACCTACCCTCTGTAAAATACTTACCATAAATAGGATTGAAATAATTTTTTAAAATTCCTATTTTATGCTTTCAGAATGTGGCCAAATCATATAGAGAGATTGTATAAGTTAGCCATGGTTTTACAAATTACTTACATTTCTGGAGACAGAAATCAATTTTCAGGTTTTTTTTTCCAAAGATCTAAACTTGTCCACAGCCCTGGGCTATTGTAAATAGTTGAGATAACTCTGTTTGTTTATTTCTTTGTGCTGGTTATTGTTTTCATAAGGAATTATATTGTCAATCAACAGTGTTTAACTTACAAATTATATTTCCATTAATTTTGAATGTATGCTTATGAGTAGCACAATGTCACCTAACTCACCAATGCAACCATATATTTTAGAGATTAAATACATAGATACTTAAAGGAAAATTTCTCATTTGTTCCCTTGTTGAAAAAAAAATATGATTACCTATTGCAGCAGACAAAATAGTAAGCCTCCAATGTATTCATGTCCTGCTTCTCAATACCATGTGAATTAGTTAAATTACATGGCAATTGGGAAATAAAGTTGCAGATAAAATGAAAGTGCTAATTGGTGAGAAGATTATCATGAGTTATCCAGCTAGGTCTAATGTAATTAGAAGGATCCTTATGAATGGAAGAAGAAGGCAAAAGAGAAAGAACTAGAGAGACAGCATAGTGACGAACACTCTCCCGAACCTTGTGGCTTTGTAGATGGAGGGATGGGACCATGAATTATAAATGTGGGCAGTCTCTTGAAGCTGGAAAAGTCAAAGGAATAGATTCTCCCTAGAATTTCCAGAAGAAATGAAGCCCAGCTTCCCAACACCATGATGTTAACCCAGTAAGACCCACTTTGAACTGTAATCTCTACAACTTTAAGGTAATATATTTCTGTTGTTTTAACAGCCATTTAACAGCCATTAAGTGTGTGATATCATTTTATAGAAGAAATAAGAAATGAATACACTTATTACACATTAGGATATTTGCTATATGTTAGCAATAAACTATTAAACAAGACAGAAAAGATTATTTCTCTTATAAGAACTTAAATTTTAGAGATAAAGAAAAAAATAAAAAAAGCAAAGAAATAGAATTAGGTTGATAATATCTATAAAGAAAAAAAACAAGATGTTGGAAGAGAACGAAAAGGAAGACCTATTTAAGTAGGTCTGCACTCTGTAGAGAGCTAGAATCTATTGGATGAAAACACTGGCCCTGATAACTATAAAATTAGGAATCAGCTAAGCTTAGAATATTTTAAGAGTATTCCTAAGGCACAGAACAGTGAATTCACAGATTGTGGAGTGTGGAAGACTTTGACGTTTAAGGAATAGAATCACAACACTTTGACAAGAAACGGCTTACCAAGTAGAAGAGTGTAAGTATTGATTTGGGAAAAAACAGTTGAAAGTAGATTACACAGACCTGTTTGGCTATGATAGGTAGTTGAGACTTTATAGAAAGTACAGTAAAAACCATCAAATAACTTAGAAAAGAAAGTGACATTACCAAATGTAAATATGTACATATATAGTATATAGTTATATACAATTATAAATGATTTATTTCAATTTTTATTTTTTAAATTGACAATAATTGTATGTATTTATATTTTGAAATATATGTTATTATTAGCTACAGTCATGGCTGTGCAATAGATCATCAGAATTTACTCCTCCTGTCTAGCTGAACCTTTGTACTCTTTGACCAACATTTCCTCTTTTCCCATCCACCCCCTTCCCCACCAGTTTCTGATAACTACGAGTTTTCTCTTTGCTTCCACAATTTTGACTTTTTTGGATTTCGAATAAAAGTGAGATTATACACTATTGGTCTTTCGGTGCCTTGTTATTCCACTTAGCACAAGGTCACAAGGTCTTCCAGGCTCATTCATGTTGTCACAATTTTTTTTTTTTTTTTTTTTTTTTTTTTTGAGACAGAGTCTTGCTCTGTCACCCGGGCTGGAGTGCAGTGGCACCATCTCGGCTCACTGCAAGCTCCGCCTCCTGGGTTCATGCCATTCTCCTGCCTCAGCGTCCCGAGTAGCTAGGACTACAGGCACCTGCCACCACGCCCAGCTAATTTTTTGTATTTTTAGTAGAGATGGGGTTTCACTGTGTTAGCCAAGATGGTCTTGATCTCCTGACCTCGTGATTCACCTGCCTCGGGCTCTCAAAGTGCTGGGATTACAGGCATGAGCCATGATCCACCGCACCCATCTCTTTGTTGTTGTTGTTGTTGTTTGTTTTGTTTTGTTTTTGGCTGAATAGTTTTTCATCATGTATATATACTGCATTATAAATATTCATTCATCTATTGATGGCTACCTAGGTTGTTTTTATATCTTGGCTATTGTAAATAATGCTACAATGAACATGGGAATGCAGGCATCTCTTCAACATATTGATTTCAATACCGTTGCAGATATGCCTAGAAATAAGATTGCTGAATCACATAATTATAATATTAGGTTTTTTTGAAGAAACATCTATACTGTTTTCCAAAATTGCTATACTAATTTATAGTAACTCCAATAGTGTACAAGTGTTTCCATACAACATCAGTGAAGGAAATTGAAGAAAAAAAAACCCATAACTGAAAAGATATTCTCTGTTCATAGCTTGGAAGAATTCAAGAATTCATATTGTTAAAATGTCCATACTACTTAAAGTGACCTACAGATTTAATCTATCCCTATCAAAATTCCAATGTCATTCTTCAAAAAAATAGAAAAGAGAATGTTAAAGTTCAAATAGAACTATGAAAGACATCTATTAGCCAAAGATGAGCAATCATGACCAAAAAGAACAAAGCTGGAAGCATCACACTACCAGATTTCAAAATATATTACAAAAACATAGATATCAAAACAGCATAATGCTGGCATAAAAAGAGACTCATTGCTCAATGGAATTGAATAAGGAGCCCAGAAATGAACCTGAACTTCTATGGTCAATTGATTTTTAACAAAGATGTCAAGAACACACAATGGGAATGGGCAGTTTCTTTAATAAATGGTGTTTGGAAAACAATATATATATGAAGAAAAATGAAAATGGGCCATTTCTCACCCCTTATACAAGGATTGATGCAAAATAGACTAATGACCTAAATGTAAGACCTCAAAGTGTAAAACTACCAAGAAAACATAGGGAAAAAGCTCTATGACGTTGGTCAAGGCAGTGATTTATTGGATATGACCCCAACAATCGTGGAAAATGAAAGCAAAAATGCACACATGAGATTATATCAAACTAAAAAGTGTCTCCATAGGAAAGAAAACAATTGATAGAGTGAAAAACAATCCACAGATGGGAAGAAAATATTTACAAATTATATATTGGAGTAGGGGCTCATATCTACAATACAAAAGGAACTCAAACTAAATAACAAAAAAAAAAATCCTATTAAAAAGGGGCAAAGAATCTGAACAGCCATTTCTCAAAGGAAGACATACGAAGGAGCAACAGATAAGTGAACAAATGCTCAACATTTCTAATCACCAGGAAAATTTAAATTAAAATCATAAGGAGACATTACCTCACACTGGTTAGATTATCAAAAAGAGGAAAGATAAGTGTTGGTGAGGATGTGGAGAAACTAAATATTTTTTAGATGATTCTCTGTGGGATGGGTAATGCAGGATAAGGCATGAATAATAATAGCTTTGGAGAAGCATATTCTGGTTTTGAGCAGATTAATTTCAGGGAAATGGAGAGGGTAAAATAAAAAAAGAAATGGCAAGAGGAAATGCTAATGGAATGAATAGAGGAGATGAAAAATCAAAAAATTGTAAGTTACTCAGGTTCCAACTTTAATTAACTGGGTAGAAGACAATGCAATTTATTAGAATGACAGACATTTGCTAAGGAATCGTTTCAGGAGCAAAATGTGGAGTTCCATTTTAATAAGTGAACTTTGAGAGAACTAGGGGGATTCTAGATAAAAATATTGTCATTTAATATATCTATATACATATGTGTGCATACATGCAAACATACATACATAGATGGATATCTGTGTGTGGTAAAATAATGAATTAGCATCACTTTATTTTATCTGTACTTTTTAAAAGGTAAATATGTTTTTTATCTATGTTACTAATATTAATTTTTAATATGATTATTTGAGTATATTAGCAATATATTGCTGAGGTTATAGTTAACATCATAGTGTTGATGACCAAAATGAACCATCTATGGGGGAAATAGATACAACTCTTAGTGAACTCCTAAGTTAACATTTATTATTACAAGCTTGTAAATCAACAGTTCTTAGAAAGAGCTAAAAACTCAAACTAAAACAAACATGAAATTACTTTGATACTTTGGGAAAGTTTTTGCTGTTTGGTAAATAGATTAAAAATATATCTTAAGATGTCAAAATAGCCCCCAAAATTGATTTAAATTAATATATAGTAATGCTATATATTTACTAAAATGCTTACTTTTCTATCCAAACAAACATTAATCGTTAAGTGATTTAAATTCTCAAAAGCACATGTGTCCTGTCAAGTTCCCTGTTATTTGCATGTGGCATACGGTGTTATTCAAATTTCATTGAGGCTAATTGAAAGAGATTTATGGCTTCTGATTGTAATTTTTCAAGTGTGAAGTGTAAGCCAGAAATCAAGGGAAAGATCACCATAAGATTTATATTGAAAATGACAGGAATGGACAGGATAATTCAGAAAGTGTGGAAAGGAAAGAAAGAAAAACTTAGGATGGGATCCTGAGGAACGTTGTGGTAAGATACTAAATAAAGCATAAACGGCAAATGAGGTAAGAAGAAAATTCCCCAAATCTGGGGTGATTTCATTCAAAATAAGACAATGAAAGAATCATCCTCCATATTAAATGAGAGGTTAAGTCTGATGTGTATAGAAGTCTGCACTAAAGGCTGGGCATGGTGGCTGACGCCTGTAATACCAGCACTTTGGGAGGCCGAGTCAGGCGGATCACGAGGTCAGATCGAGACCATACTGGCTAACATGGTGAAACCCCGTCTCTACTAAAAATACAAAAAAAAAAAAAAAAAAAACTGGGTGTGGTGGCAGGAGCCTGTAGTCCCAGCTACTTGGGAGGCTGAGGCAGGAGAATGGCATGAACCCGGGAGGCAGAGCTTGCAGTGAGCCAAGATGGAGCCACTGCACTCCAGCCTAGGCAACAGAGCAAGACTCCATCTCAAAAAAAAAAAAAGTCTGTACTAAAATAGGAACAGTGGGATCCAAGACTTTATTACCTAAGGTGGAAGGCTTACAGAACATTCTCTGAGTGACAGTGGGGAAAAGCCGATTGCTGAGTGAATGCTGGGCTTAGAGTCCACCAGCTTAGAGCAACAGGTACTGACACTTTGTGCCTCACTGCCAGTGCAGACAGAAGTTAGCTGTTTACCTGTGCTGGAGGGAGGAAGCAGAAATACCTGTGCATATGGAAACAAGGCCTCCTGATAATGAAGTTTTTATATATTTATTATTAGTTTATCAATCTCATTTCTGAATTATATATTACCATATCTACTAGGAGGGAATAATTTGTGGTTTGAGACAACGTTCTTAACGTAGGAAAACTGAATAAAAATTTCCAATAGTTCATCCTTATATGTAGGCTAAAATTTATACCCCTAATTTAGAATTCAGTATTCTTCACAATCTCATCCCAGCCTTCACTAAAAATATATACTTCTATTATTCTTTATGTGGATTTTATAGCTGCCAACTAATTACAAAACCATGTGTATTCTTAATCTTGGCACCTCCATTCTCTTTACTAATAATGTGAACAATAGTTATTTTAATAAACCATTTAAATTGATGTGTAATCTTCATATAGAAAGCCTCCTCATGCCCTTCTCAATTGCTATATCCTGACTTCTCCCTGACAATCTTAAAGCTAATGCAGTTTGGCCTATTTTAAATTTTATGTAAGTAGAATGACAGAGTATATCTTATTTAGTGTCTGCCTGCTTCCTTTTACTCAGTATTACGTTTGTGAGTTTCATCTATGTTACGGTGAGTAATAGTGTTTTCATTTATTTTTATTGCCATATAAATATCTTATTATTATCTTATTATTATCACATTGTATCTATTTAAATTTGGATAATCACAAATAATGCTGCTATTAATATGTGTGTACATCATGAGTGTATATGTACACATTTAAACGAAGACACAAATTATCTGCACAGCCAGATATTCAAAGAATCAGGGCAAGAAATACATGACTTGAAATGATAAAATTAACAAGATCTGAATAGAAGAAAAAATTGGGCATCATCACAAACAATATATATATATACACAGACATGCAAACATGAGGTCATAAAAGCACACATTGGCCTGGTGCAGTACCTCACACCTGTAATCCCAGCACTTTGGGAGGCCAAGGAGGGTGGATCACCTGGGGTCAGGAGTTTGAGACCAGCCTGGCCAACATGGTGAAACCCCGTCTCTACTAAAAATACAAAAATTAGCCAGGTGTGGTGGTGCACACCTGTAATCTCAGCTACTCGGGAGGCTGAGGCAGGAGAATCGCTGGAACCCAGGAGGTGGAGGTTGCAGTGAGCTGAGATTGCATCACTGCACCGCAGCCTGGGCGACAAAAGCAAAACTCTGCCTAAAAAAAAAAAAAAAGCACATATTACCCATATCTTATAGTCTTGTTTCCTAAGATAATCGAGTTTGAGTTTCAATAAAAGATGCTGAAAAATTTTAAGAAGGGGCATGTGATGGTTAATTTTAGGTGTCAACTTGAGTGGATCAAGGGATCCCCATTACACCTAAAGCAGTATTTTTGGGTATGTCTGTGAGGGTGTTTCTGAAACAGACTGGCATTTGAACCACTGGACTGAGTAAAGAAGATCCTTGTCACATAATGTGGTGGGCTGCCACCATCCAATTTGGCTGAGGGCCCAGACAGAACAAAAAGGCAGAAGGAAGGTGAGTTCTCTCTCTGTCTTCTGGAGCTGGGACACCCTCTCCTGCCCTTGAACTAGAACTTCAGGCTCTTCAGCCTTTGGACTAGGGACTTGCACCTGCATTCCCTCAATTTCTCAGGCATTCAGGCTTGAACTGAGAGTTAACATCATCAGCTTCCCTGGTTCTAAGGCTTTTCGGAATTATATTGAGCCACACTACTGACTTCTCAGGCTTGCAAAGGGCCAATTGTGGGACTTCCTAGCCTCTATACTCTTGTGAGATCATCCCCACAATAAGTCATCTGTCATATATCCACGTTTCTCTATATGTTCATCCTATTTGTTCTCTCTCTGGAGAACCTAATAATGCAGGGAGTTATATGATATGTTATAGTTCAGGCAAAGGATGCTGCTGGTCTGTTCTGAGTAGTTACAGTCAGGATGAAGGGAACGAAGATGGATGTTGGGGGTGCTGTTGGTAAGTTATACAAGTTGGAAAGGGAAAGAATATGAAGAAGAAAGAGGCCTCAGAGATGGCTCCAATATTTTAAGTTGGACAACTAGGCAAATGTACTTCCTATTTCCCAAAGGCTTGGGGAGGTTTAGATTTGATGGTGGGCAAACTAGGAAAGTTGAAAATTTTATTTTGGTCTCTGTAATATAAAAAATAATGCCAAATGCAGAGGAAGTGCTCATAAATATTAATTTCTCATTTCTGTCTTTTGGAACTTTAGAAATAATGCTTTTTCATTCAGAACCACTGTTATTTGTCTAAGAGATGACGACTTACTACTTAAATCAATAGGAGATAATGCATAAGAAAGAAAGCTATATATACTGCCCACCTATTAAATATTAGTTATTGTTACAGATTAGACATTTTATAAATATATTCTTTAATTCTTGAAACAATTCTGTGATGTAGCTAACACTGAGGGATAATAATATACTGAGATTAAAAGAACCTAAGTAATTCTTTGTGACATGTTTTTCTAAGATGTATTGAGTCTGGATCAAATAAATTTTTTTGAAATATAAATTAGATGAATTTTATGTCTCTCCAAGCTTCTTCTCCCTAGGAAATCATGTTACCCCTTCATATTAATGTTTCATACTAATGTGTGATTACTGTAACACGAGACATGACAATAATTGCACATTTACAGCCATGAAGAAAGTAGTTTAGTGCCAAGACAATTACGGATATTGTAAGTAGGGTGGAGCATGATCTTTGCAGGAATTACTATACCTATTATATTCTGTTTTATATGAAATAAAGAATCACTATCTTAACTTTTAACTTTTTTCTTCCTTAAAAACAAATCCACTGTCAGAATGAATGTTAAAGGAGCAGATGTCTAATTTAGGACGTTTTCCAATTTCTATTAAAATAATAAAGGATTTTACAAAAACTATATAGAAGTTTTAAGTGGTTGGCAACAATATAAAATTTCGCTTGACCTAAATATAAATCCAAAGTCTAATAAAATGAAAACTTTTTGGCACATCCTATATTAGAATATGAAGCTACAGTATTGTAAAGGAGATACTTTGAATTGCAATTAAAATGAGGTTGCACTGAATATAATTACTGTGTTTTTGTTTTTATGACTTCACATAAGTGTACTTCTTCTTATTGACTTAATATGTTTATATATTTGCCTGGTTTCACATTTTCCAGATTTAATCACATCTTTTCATCATTTAGTTGACAGCTTATACACTGAATAAAATGACATTGTTGCTAAATATTGGTGTCAATAACTATGAATACAATGAGTTTTAAACCTCATCTTTCTTCTCTGAAATTGCTTTTTAATGTTATGTTTTTTCTCTTTGATTTTGAATTTGTGCTTAGAGTGTAATTTAATTACGGAGATAAGAAGGACATTAATAAACTTTAGCCATAATATTGTTTGAAAAATCAAGTTTTATCTACAAAAAGTCCTAAAATCTAATTTATTTTAAAGTGGAAGACTACTGAGAATCATTTATAATGTAAATAGTGTTGATTAGACCTTTTATTTTTTATAAAACAGTAAAAATCTCGTTAGCACAACTGTATTTGTATGTGGCATATCTCTGTGTGTGTGTGTGTACCTTTTTCATTTGTATATATTAGCAGGGTAAGATTTTGATCTCCTAATGAGTTTTTCATTCTCATTAATTCCTTTTACTCAGTACTACTCCACTATTCCACACCCTAATGCTGAACTCTCTTTCTCATTCTCTTTCTCTCTTTTTTTTTTTTTTTTTTGAGACAAGGTCTTGCTATGTCTCCCAGGCTACAATGCAGTGGGGTGATCACAGTTCACTGTAGCCTCAACTTCCCAGGTTCAAGGAATCCTCCCACCTCAGGCTCCTGCATACCAGGGACTACAGTCACATGCCATCATGCCCGGGTAATTTTTAAATTTGTTGTAGAGATGGCGTCTCCCTATGTTGCCCAGGCTGGTGTTGACCTCCTGGGCTCAAGAAATCCTCCCACCTTGGCCTCCCAAAGTGCTGGGATTATCGGCTTGTTCCATCACCCCACCCAGCCTAATGCTAAACTTTCTATATCTTGTTTTTTTTGTGTGTTAGGAAAATAATTTTAAAAGATAGTAAATCATTTGCCTTTAATATTTCAAAGTTAGGTATCTGGAATGAATATATATGTTCATGTATTCTTGATGCATTTCTTTTTTTTTGAGACGGAGTCTCACTCTGTCACCCAGGCTGTAGTGCAGTGGCGCAGTCTCGGCTCACTGCAAGCTCCACCTTCCGGGTTCACGCCATTCTCCCGCCTCAGCCTTCCGAGTAGCTGGGACACAGGCGCCCGCCTCCATGTCCAGCTAACTTTTTTTTGTGTGTGTGTGTTTTCAGTAGAGACGTGGTTTCATCATTCACAGGATGGTCTCGATCTCCTGACCTTGTTATCTGCCCGCCTCGGCCTCTCAAAGTGCTGGGATTACAGGCCTGAGCCATTGTGCCCGGCCTTTTGATGTATTTTTAATTATTATTTATTTATTCACATTCCCTGTGTCTGATATAGGATTTTTTCCACTTTCCTCTCATTAAGAAATTGAACAAAAAAATTAATGCCTGTTAGCTTGGGTACTAGAACAGGTTGACAACAGGAGTTGGTCTCAGCAGGAGCCCTGCTTTCTGCTCCTCTACCTCCAGACTAAGCTCCTTCATGGCAAGATGGAGATAGAGCAAATCAAAGGCCAGATGTTTGGAATATCTGCTGAATGATCTTATGATAACCTAACTTCCCAGTGTGTCCGGAATTGGTGGGTCCTTGGTCTCACTGACTTCAAGAATGAAGCTGGGGACCCTCGCGGTGACTGTTACAGTTCTTAAAGGCGGCGTGTCTGGAGTTTGTTCCTTCTGAAGTTCGGACGTATTCGGAGTTTCTGCTTTCTGGTGGGTTCGTGGTCTCCCTGGCTCAGGAGTGAAGCTACAGACCTTCACAGTGACTGTTACAACTCTTAAGGCGGCACATCGGGAGTTGTTCGTTCCTCCCAACAGGTTCGTGGTCTTGCTGGCTTCAGGAGTAAAGCTGCAGACCTTCCCAGTGTTACAGCTCATAAAGGCAGTGTGTACCCAAAGAGTGAGCACTAACAAGAGTTATTGCAAAGAGTGAAAGAACAAAGCTTCCACGGTGTGGAAGGCGACCGGAGTAGATTGCCATTGGTGGCTGGGGCAGTCTGCTTTTATTCCCTTATCTGGCCCCACCCACATCCTGCTGATTGGTCCATTTTACAGGGAGCCGATTGGTCTGTTTTACAGAGAGCTGATTGGTCCTTTTTGACAGGGTGCTGATTGGTGCGTTTATAATCCCTGAGCCGGGCACAAAAGTTCTCCACCTCCCCACTAGATTAGCTAGATACAGAGTGTGGATTGGTGTATTTACAAACCCTGAGGTAGACACAGAGTGCTGATTGGTGCATTTACAAACCTTGAGCTAGATACAGAGTGCTGATTGGTGCATTCACAATCCCTTAGCTAGACATATTCTCCAAGTCCCCACCAGATTAACTAGATACAGAGTGCTGATTGGTGCATTCACAAACCCTGAGCTAGACACAGGGTGCTGATTGGTGTGTTTACAAACCTTGAGCTAGATACAGTGCTGATTGGTGTATTTACAATCCCTTAGCTAGACATAAAGGTTCTCCAAGTCCCCACCAGATCAGCTAGACACAGAGCACAGATTGGTGCATTTACAAACCTTGAGCTAGACACAGAGTGCTGATTGGTGCATTCACAATCCTTTAGTTAGACATAAAGATTCTCCAAGTCCCCACCAGATTAGCTAGATACAGAGTGGAGATTTGTGCATCCACAAACCCCGAGCTAGACACAGGGTGCTGACTGGTGTGTTTACAATCCCTCAGCTAGAGGTAAAGGTTGTCCAAGTCCCCACTAGACTCAGGAGCCCAGCTGGCCTCACCCAGCGGATCTCGCACCGGGGCCACAGGTGGAGCTGCCTGCTAGTCCCGTGCGGTGCACCACACTCCTCAGCCCTTGGGCGGTTGATGAGACCGAGCGCCCTGGAGCAGGGGGCGGCGCTCCTTGGGAGGCTCAGGCCGCGCAGGAGCCCACGGTGGGTCGGGGGAGACTCAGGCATGGCGGGCTACAGGTCCCGAGCCCTGCCCCGTGGGGAGGCAGCTAAGGCCCGGCGAGAAAGCGAGCGCAGAGTTCGTGGGCCAGCACTGCTGGGGGACCCGGCGCACCCTCCGCAGCTGCTGGCCTAGGTGCTAAGCCCCTAACTGCCTGCGGCCCGGCCGCGCCGGCCGGCCCCTCCCAGTACGGGGGCGCCAAGCCTACGCCCACCCGGAACGGTAGCTGGCCCGCAAGCGCCGCGCGCAGCCCGGGTTCCCGCCCGTGCCTCTCCCTCCACACCTCCTCGCAAGCCGAGGGAGCCTAGAGAAGGGCTCCCATGGTGCAGCGGCGGGCTGAAGGGCTCCTCAAGCGCAGCCAGAATGGGCGCCGAGGCCGAGGAGGCACCGAGAGCGAGCAAGGACTGCGAGGGCTGCCATCATGCTGTCACCTCTCACCAGGTAGGATACAAGAAAACAGGTGGGCCTCATAGATAAGAAACAATGTTCAGGCTAGTGTAAAAACAGTATGGTTATGTACAATGTTTACGAAGATGGGATGGAAGAAGACACAGTTTCCCTACACCCAGGCAAGGAAAAAGAAGCAAGTTGATCCTTTCCCTTTGGCTAAAAGAGTATTGCACTGAGAGCCAGGAAAAAGAGGTCTTATTTTCAGGACACGCAAGATGTGGCAGTGTATGCTGGAATAAATGAAACGTTGAGACTTGTGCAAATGAAAACGTCTAAACTGATGAGAACATAAAGGACCAGAAGAGATGATAGGAAACTCACTAGATGCTACCTTAGATGCCCAGAGACCAAGAACTAAAGACCAAATGACCTTTTCTCCCCACTTTGCTGTGGCACTTCAAGAGTATTCTTGTAGGCACACTTTCTAAGACAAAGTTAAGGGAGACAAAAACAAACAAACCTACAAAACTTGAATAGAATAACTTTATCCTGAATTGTGTACATTTAATTTTTCCTACAACAACCATATGAAAGTATAGTGTGTAATTGAACTTAAGATACTCCCTCCAACAATATCTAAATTAGTTATTGAAAGAATGTGACCCCTCAGCTTTCATTATGCAGTTAACTGAGGAATTGAGAAATAAGGGTCTTGCAATAGTTACAAATTCAGACATTAACAAAAATGATATTTAAACATGAGCTTATTCTGACTATTAGTCTAGAGCAATGTTCTCTGATTCAGTGGCTTCTTTCAATGATGGAGATAAGCAATGACCAAGAATAATTAATAAAATGTGGTGGCAAATTATGCTTCTAAAATTTTAAGATTTCAGCTGCTCAAGGAAGGCTCAATGCTGGAGTTTGAATTTGTATATGCTGACAGCATCACATATGTAGTCATTTTTATTCCTTCTCATTCATCTGAAGTCAGATACTATGAACTATTAACTATTTTATGTACTATAAAAATAAATTGCTTATTTCTATTTTAAGCAAAGAAAATGAAACACTGCATTAAGGAAAGGTTACCAGATATATGAAATCTATATCTGTATTCTGATTTATATACAATGATTAAGGCAATTTAAAAAGCAAGGTAGACCTAACTTTTCATGATTTTTTTCCTATGTAATTGAGCATTGATTCTATCAATCTCTATAAATTTAAGGAAGAATAAGCATCATTAAGATCTCACACTTTTCTGGCTTGACTATATCAATGTAAATGTTTTATTTAGACTGTGTATTAAAATAGGAAGAAGAAAGGGTTTCAGCATAATTGGGTAGATTTAGTTATTTGTATTCTAGGATCTGGGATATAAAAGTTATTTGTATACTAAGATCTGGAATATAAAAACAATTAAAAAAACTTTAAATATTCATAGGTTCATTGAATTTTAAAACATCAAATACTGTAATTTTATTCAAGAGCAGTGGGTTTTACAAAGGCTATTTCCAAACCATAGAGAGAATAGAGCATGGGCTTGTGGCTCCTTTATATAAGGCTTATTGCCTTTTGTCTACCAAAATGGTGCAGCCACCCCCCAGGGATTCCTGGATAGAATGAGGAGATTTCATGAATTTAAATAGAAAAAATTACAACTTTATTTTCTTATGCTCTCATTGACATTTAATATTCAATTATGAACCTCAGTTGCAAACCGCATCAGTAAGAGCAATATCTGTAACATTTTTTAAAATTAAATGTCACAGATATTTACATTCCCCATTATATTTGTTGCGTATTTTCATAAAAGTCACTTGTGCTCCTAACTACTTTAAAATTTTGGTGTTTTGTTAACATGAGGCTGTATGGTATCACTTTTATCAATGAATTGACATAGAATCACATAAATTTTCATATTATAATTTTAATAGCTGTGTTAACAGAACTGGTTCCCTTTATAATCCCGTATATTTTTAAAACTTTTTTTTTTACTTTAAAAAACATTTTGAAAAGGGGTTCACCATACTGCTTCACCATACTGCTACAAAGTCTATGCCAAATCAAAGAGAACGAACTCTTGTTGAAAGAGAAAAGTAGGAGGAAGGAGAGGTGGAGGGAGGGAGGGAGAGGAAGATAAGACTACTGATTCCTGAGCTCACTTTCCCTTACCTCACTTAGTGCCCACAGGAAGAGTATCCCATGGGACACGTGTGACATTTCTGGACTTGTAAATAGGTGATAGGAAACTACCTTCCCTCTGAACCTAACATGAAATCTTGCCACGGAAGACATTCCTGCATTGTCTGCATGTGCTTCTGACATGGGACGTGGTACTTCCCAATCTGAAATATTTAATATCTTACATGCTATGCCCATGGAAAGAATCCTAATCTACCCCTCTCAGTTTGTATGGAGAATTCATTCATCTAGCCAGTGTACTATGTACTCTGCTCCGAGAGTTTTGCTCCTTCTTGCCTTCCTTCCATCAGTCTTCCCTCCAATGATGATGAATTTTGTTATTTTACATCTTAAAATCAGTACGGTAATTTACTGTGTGGCTTTTCATAGATTATTATTATGTTTCAATTTAACTGGGCTGTGGGTACTCAGACCTTTGGTCAAACATTATTCTAGATGTTTCCGTAAGGATGGTTTTGGAAGAGATTTACATTTAAATTTGTAGACTGAGTAAATATAGGTAGGTCTTCAATTTGCAGACTCACCCTGCAGATGTTAGGATCTCAGCTCCCATAATTTCATGTGCCAATTTCATACATAAAACATCTCTCTATCTCTTTCTCTGTCTCTGTCTGTCTCTCTCTCTCTCACTTTCTTTCTCTCTCTCTCTCTCTATGGGATGTATCAGTATACCTCATTTCCCCAGTCTTTTCTTTCTCCTTTTCCTCCTTTTCCCAGCTTATGAGCTATCTCTTCCTCCCTCTCTCTCAGTTTCTCTCTCTTTTCTTCCTTCCTCCCTCCACACCTCCCGTGTTTCTTTCCTTCCTTCTTTCCTCCCTCCCTTCCTTCCTCCCTTCTCTCCTTCCTTCTCTTTTATGTTTCGTTTTCAATGAATTATTGCCCAAATTTATTCTCAACATTTTCTGAGCTAGTACATTTATCTCAAGAAATTTTTTTCTAATCAGTATAAAAACATGCTATACCCATGAAACTTTATGCTTCATAAGTTTCACAGTACTTTTTTTAGGAGGATCATTATAAATATGTATGGGTATTAACAGCAAAGCCTATAAATGTGAAGTGTTTTTTCTAAAACCCATCCTTAGAGCAAATATGTTATATACATACTACAAATACTCTCACACAGTTAGAGACTTTATTGATTATATGGATAATTTATATATATAATCTGTTTCTGATGCTTGCAATGAAATCTAAGATTTTATGTTCTAATTGTGCGTTTAAAAGAAATATTACAAAAATATGTTTATCCCCCTAGGTATCTGTCTACAATTAGAAGCATTATCAGCATAATTAGTTTCATTGCACATATAATTCTCTGATATGCCAGTATTAAATTCTTAAATCATTGGGTCAACAAGGGATTTCCCTTTCTTACTACAAGAATACAATAACTATAATACAAATATTACCATTAAATTGTTGAAGTACTTATTGTATTCATGATCTCCTTTTAAAAAAATAACAATATCTTAATTTTTAAATATAGGCTTTTATAGCTATTGTTTAATACATGAAGTACTTCCACTACTATGTTGCAATTTTGAGATTTCTTGCTAACATTTTGTCAGTTTTTCTCATAGATCATTGTGAGGTTTGAAACATGTCCACATAGTTTTCCATGTGTTAATGAAAAACATTGATTTCTGCCTGATTTTATATTTGATTTCTGATCAATTGGAAATGATTTTTGCTCTCTTAATCAAAGTATTTAATAGTCATTTTATTTTGTGATAATTTATTTTTCAAAAATATAGCTATATTTTGAACACATTAACTCTGGAATTATATCCATTAATAATGACTGGATGTGAACCAACAATAGATATGAGATACACACACACACACACACACATGCATACACACACACACACACACACACACGTGTGCTTTCTCTTGCTGGAAACTAGTATGTCTTTCTATTCCTTCCTTCTTTTTCTTTAGTATTCATCATTTTCATATTTTTATGTGGTTTTTTTTTGAGGGATGAGTGAGTTCTTAATAACTCTCCCTCCTATATCAGAAAATGGCTTTAAGTATTAGATTGATCACTCTGTGAGGCCAGAGTTTCTAAGAACCCGGGCAGTAGATATTATTTGGATACCTATGTGGTCTCAGGTGCTGTGTTTGACACAGTTTTTTTTTTAAAGTAACATTAAATTATTCTTTAACAGCTTATACATATATTGTTGTGGAGGGGGGCAAAAAAGCAAATACCAAAACACGGAAATGGCCAGATGTGGTGGCTCACGCCTGTAATCCCAACACTTTGGGAGGCCGAGACAGGTGGATCACGAGGTCAGGAGATTGAGACCATCCTGGCCAACATGGTGAAACCCCATCTCTACTAAAAATACAAAAATTAGCTGGGCATGGTGACACACGCCTGCAGACCCAGCTACTCGGGAGGCTGAGGGAGGAGAATCACTTGAACCTGGGAGGTGGAGTTGCAGCAGTGAGCCGAGATTGCACTGCTGCACTCCAGCCTGAGTGACAGAGTAAGACTCCGTCTCAAAAAACAAACCCCCCCCCCCCCCCGGAAAAAATAAACAAGGAAATATTACTCTATTTAAAGAGTATATTTACTGGGGAATATACATGAAATCAATCTTGGTCTTATAACAAACCTCATTGACACCTAAAAAATGACTCATTAAAGTAAATTAACTAAAATGAGAAATAGAAGTTTATTACAAATAGTGAAAATATATACTAACACTTATTATAAACAATAAAACTAAAAATTATTATAAAATAATACTGAATTGTGTCCTGAATTTAACGAAATATAGGTTATATTTGTATA
This sequence comes from Homo sapiens, assembly GCF_000001405.40. NCBI lineage: Eukaryota > Metazoa > Chordata > Mammalia > Primates > Hominidae > Homo > Homo sapiens. The sequence goes on along the minus strand of NC_000013.11, from coordinate 82,252,829 downwards.
AATGTTTATTACTGCCCCAGAGTCTGAATCCAGTAGTGATTACCTTTTTTATTTTTTTCAAACAGTATGTAAAACTGTATAATCAAGTCTTCTATTTCACGTTTGACTTTTGCATCAAAATCATGAAGGGAATTTTTTTTCATAAGTAATCAAGAGATACTTCAGTTGTCTATGGGACTTTGTATCCTTTCTTTTCCAGCATCTACCTGTCTTTAACTTTGTTTTTTTTCTTTAATTTACTCTGACTTTTATTATGTGTCCAAGATCATTTTTACGAACTTGATGAAATTGTATTTCATGCTAAATTTATAACTTTATTTTGCAGTTGTTTTGCACTGCATATTTATTATATATCTCATAATTAGCAGGAAACTAATTCACAAACAGATTGGTGTTATAGGTAAGAAATAGAATCTAGACTTGAGAAAAGATTTTTTATAATGGACAAATTTAATAAGTGATCAACTTAACATTATTTGCTTGTCATGGTTATTTTCATGTCAACATAAATAGCAGGAGCTGAAGTAAGGAATACTTGTAAAATAAGGATCTGCTACATAACAAAGAAGAAAAATAAGCAATATCTGTTCATTGATTATATGCCAGAAGTTAATAAAAGGAAGAGTTAAGGGCAAATAACATTTTTTTTTTTACTTGGGAGATTGAAAGATGATGGCAGAAATGAGAAATGAAAACAGGAAGCTATGAAACAGGTGTGGGAAGGCATATATAAAACACAAAATTCCTGCGGCAAATATAGAGAAGGCTAGTCTGCAGAAAATGGACATAAGTCTGGAGCACATATATAAAAACTGTGCTGGGAGGTGGCCTGTTTGCTTGTCCTTTCATATATGTATTGTCGGATATGAAGTGAAGGAAGGAGAATCCTTGAAGGTTAGGAAGTGAGTTAAAAGAAGTGGGCAAAAGTGGATATATGTACAAAGCAATTAAAATAAACTAAAAATACTCTTTTGAAGGACATAATGAAATTCAGTTTTTATATAGAACATCCAGATTGAGATAATCTGAGAAGATGGTGATAATCCAAAAAGTTTTGCTACAAACTATGTCATTCAGAGCCCAATCTAGAGATTAGCTAGCATTTGACATACAAGTAGTAACTGAAGCAATAAGAAAATAAACGTTTTAGAGAAAATATATAGACGGGAGAATGAGTAGAATTTTAGAAAAAAAATGGAAAGAATGAGCATTAATGCATGGGAATAAATAAGGCTCTCATAAAAGATCTAGAATTGAAAGAAGATATAAGAAGTGGAAACAGCATCAGTAAAACATGTTCAGAAATAATTCAGTGGCATAAAAAATTTTATAAAGAGGCTTTGATGGACAGCATACAATACACCGTAGAGTTTTCTGTAGGAGAAAGATGAGAAAGTATCTAATAGAATAACAAATCATGAGATCAATATGTCTTCATTGTAAAAATGTTATGGGGGAAATAAGGAAATAATTCTGATTGACATTCTGTTAATAGGTGAAAGTAGGTCATAAAATGATGCCTTCCATTTCACGAAATACTGTAGCAAGGTAAGATCTTGGAGTGTTTCTTGTTTTTCTTGGGAAAGGCCTGAGCATCTTTTGATATTGGGTTATATAGCCAAGATGGAGTAATCAATCCATGAATTCAATATATTTGAAGAGATTTTAAATGGGATAGATAAGGATTGGATTAGTAAAACCACTGGAGAAACTGGATTTAAAGAAGGGGTCTCCCTGAGAAGAGTGTGTGTGTGTGTGTGTGCATGCACATGCACACACGTGTGTTTATAAAATTTGTTTTGAGTGCAAAAATATGGAAACGGATATAGTTCCTGACTAATGGTTTCAATTTTCTTGAAGGGAATAGATTGTTAGACAGAAAAAGTACTGATATCAGCTGAAGAATGAAAATGTGCAAATATTATTGAATGATATTAAAGGACAAAATTATTGGATTATAGCACCAATTACTATACTCAGATTAGAAGTCAGGCATCTGAAATTATCCAGAAATATTGGCATCTATAATAGTTATTAACTTATTGGATATAGAGTTGAATAAGGCAGAAAATAAGGTTGATAATTCTGTAGAATTTTTCAGGAATTTTTTCTGATTTTTATAAATCAAACATATAATATGTGCGTAATTTTAGCATTTACCAGTTGTAAATAAATGAATCCACTAAAAGGTATCTCACAGAAGGCTCCCCTGAATGGTAAATCAATTCTTAATTTTTTATTTCTTAGGCCTACTCTGCCTCAAGAGTAAGTGCAGGCCTTGAAATCAGCATTGACTTACTTCTGAAAGCAGAAGTAAATCCAAGATAATAGGTCAAAGTGCATGTACTGTGCTTTCAGTTTTGTACCTGTATATGAGTAAGGTTGCTTCAAATTTGCTATCTAAAAGCAATGGAATTATAGATTACAGGAATCATCCTGTGGATAAACATTTCTGCTGTTATCTCAGGAAGCATAGCAAAAACACAGAATATTCCAGAAGCCCTTTCTGAAAACATTGCTGCCTTCTGAGGGCTTGGCCTTTAGAGTTAATGCCATTTTCTGTACAGAGGAGCAAAAACAGCCAGAAAATCCTCCATAGCTAACCCCAGGAAGAAAAAGAGAAGGTATGATAAGACAGAATTAATGTTTATAAACACCAAAGCTAAGGGAAGGACTGTTCAGTTTATGTCCCCCACCCCAAGACACACACACACACACACACACACACACACACACACACACACACACACACACACACACGGTGTAGCTGGAAAGAGTACTCAGTATGTGATATGGGATAACCTCCCACCTATTTTGATCATGGAGAGCAGCTATGCCTCCCCATAAATCAATAGGCATTTTGAATTTTTCTTTCTGATTTTTGCTGTAGCTTCCCTGAAGATGCTTGACTTATTTAGAATTACAGCCAAATGTGTCTCAAGGGTGAATAAACCATCTGACTGATTCATTTGCACATGGTTGACAAAAATAACAACAATCATTGCAACCACCAACACCATCCAAGGACAGTGAATACAAAGTCCATCACCTCAAACCTGTGTTCTCTTCACTACAAGATCCCTGCCTGAAACCTCTTTTTATTTATTACGCTGCCTTACATTCAGGTTTTCTATCTATCCTCACTAGAAGATAACACTAACACTGATGTTTGGCGGTGAAAAACAAGTATAGTTCTATTGGTTATTTTTGGTTAGCATCTGTTCTGCTTGTTTGGTACCTGCACCATACTGGTAGTTATGTATTTAGTTTAAATTACATTATGTGCACATTTACACTTACTTAATAACTCCTTTCCCTCCAACTGACCAACTTTTTAAAATGTACTTTGAAATGTCCATTAATGGTCAGCAAATGTTCCTCTGAATGTTACTTTGTCTTTCTTCTTTTTATTAAAATACTAATATCACCTGTGGACTTTATTTCCCGTGTCACTTAACAGTGTCATTTTTCTTTCATGCCACATATAACTCAGGGTATGGAGATGAATTTGGTATCACCCTCACTTGCAAACAAATTTTTAAGGTATTTCTGTTCTATAGTGTGTTAAAAATTCTGGTTCTTCTCAGTACTATGTGTCTCTTGCTTTTTCATGTCCTTCACATAAAGATTATCTATTTACTTATGTTAACTCTCTAACATTTATCAACAGCTTAAGCTCCTGCATCACATTCTTGTACTGTTTTAAACTCCTCTCATTAACATGTATTATTTAAACATCCCTGTGAATGGCCCATCCATCATATGCCTTCTCCTCCACTCCACTTCAATTACAGTCTTAGGTTGGAATTTGTTATCATTCAAAACTGAATCATCTCTTACATCACAAACTCAGACATGCTATTTTCCAACTGCAGTCTCTTAACATGCAATATGCTTATTCAAGTACCTTCTCTTCAATTGTTCTTTTACATTATCACGTTATTTCACCCTCTGACATATCCACTTACCCCTGTCCATCATCAACCTCAATTATATGGCTATTTTCTTAAGAGCTCACTTTATTGATATCCCCTGAATATGCTTGGTTTTCTGATGAAATATTACACTTTTATCATCTAACTCTAATTTGATTCTATTTAAAGGCAACCATCTGTTTTATCCATATGCATGAAGTAAGGTGCTTCTAAAGAAAACAAAATCACATAAATTGGAATAAAACTATGACTTAGATTGATCATTATCAGTCTCAAGCCCTAACATTTTCAAGAAATATTACTATGGTGATAGGTCTGGGAAGCCTAGAGTAATATTTTGGATAGCATCTGGCAAAAAAGGGTTTTATCAAAGCAAGGTCAGAAGCTCTGGAAAATGACTTGACCTTCACACGTTGGGAAAGGGAAGAACAGTTTGTATCCCTGCAGTGGGATTAAATCCACAGGTCTAGAAATGCTGAGGGTTTTTGGATTGAATTGGGAAACTTCATGTAACTCTTTTTTGGTCACATAGCCACTTGCTATATCACTTTAAATGAGTATGTATGTGATAGGCAAAATAAGGTCCCCCGATAATGACGACATACTAATCTCTGGAACCTGTGCATATGTTAACTCACATGACACAAGGGAATCTGTAGATAAGATTGTTATGTACATTGAGGTAGGCAGCCTCTCTTAGATTATGCAGGTAGGTTCTAGCTAATCACATGGGTCATTAAAATCAGAGAACAGTTTCTGGATATGTTCAGTCACAGGGACTTGTGACATAGAAGAATGATGAGAGAAACGCAATGGTGCCGCTTTGAAGGTGTAGGAAGAGGGCCACGAGCAAATAAAGCTGAGTGACTTCTAGAAGCTGGAAAGACAAGTTAACGTATTTTCCCTTGGAGGCCTCAAAAAAAAGAAACAATGGCCTGTGAAAACCTTCATTTTAGCCCGAGACCCATGTCAGGCTTGTAACCTACAGAACTGTACGATAATAGATTGTATTGTTTTAACTACTAATTTTATGATAGCAGGAATAGAAAAGTAAACTGCTAACTGTAAACATGAATTGAACAAAAAACATCAATATTAGGTATGATTAGAAATATTATATTGACTCAGCCACTACCAGCAATTTGACTTTAGAATTTTTACAAAGATGTAATTTAGTCAACACTCTTGTGATGCAGATGAGACATATTATCTACATCATTTTGAATTGACTCATAGTTTATGCAATTGAACCTTTCCTGAAACAATAGCATGCTGCTTTCATTGGAATGATTTTATTAAATATCTTAATATCTGGAGGAATATTTACCTAGTTATACTTTGTAAGTTAGCAGTTGAAATAGCTATTGGTGAATTTTTATTCTTCCACATGTATCTTAGTACAAGCTTATCATGTTTCAAAATAAATATTGAAATAGAATTTTGATTAAATACAATCATATTTAAAAATTATTTGGAGAAAAACTTTATAATATGTCATTCCATTAATATCACAAGATGTCTTTTCATTCATTTACATATTTTTCTAATTCTTTATTATAAAGAATTAGAGTTTTCCAAATGGAAGTCTTAGCATTTTTAGATTAATTTCTAGATTCTTGTTGTTTTTGTTTCTATAATATATGGTACAATTGTCCGCTACGATTCTGTCAGGGAATAAGAACCCATACGAGTGATGTACAAGAAAAAGCTTATTATAGTTATAAGCGCTTATGCAATCACAGGGTTAATTGAAATGTCTCTGCATGGCTGGCTGTTGCTTCTGCACATGCTGTTGCGTTTGAGGCGACTTAGGTCAGTCAAGACTGCAACTGTATTGGGATGTAAAATGGGGAAAAGCAGGACAGACAAAATCCCATGAGGACAAATTTAAAGCAATAATGATGAGGTGAAACTCAGAAGAATCAGGTAGAACGCACTTACTGCAACAATAGACCTGCATGAACCTATATGTGTCTCTCAACATTTCCAATTTTGAAGGTTCATGAGAAGTTAGCATCCTAACCACAGAGCTACAGATGCCCATGTATCTGGTCCAGGATTTGTAGAATCTACAAGGGAAGATCCGGTAGTACCTGGAAGAGCTGTGCACTTGGCTTCTTTCTACTCACACCAAGATAATCTTGCAGATCATTGGCAGTGTGCTTGACCTAATACTGTGCTTGGAGCCTGACAGCAAATTTCCGGGATAAAAAAAGAATTATTTCTGCTTCACCCTTCTGAATCCCATGCAAATTTTAAACATAATTGATAATATTGGGGATCTGGGGAAAATAAGAAATTTTGCTAGATTGACAACACAGTCTCTACTTTTTAAATGCATATCATGTTGGTTATTTAATTATACATTAAAATAATATTGATTTTTAAGTTGATCTAGTAGGTATTACCCTGTTGAATTCTTATTCAATTTATATTATTTTATTTTGCTTTTTTTAACTTTGCAGAAACCTTTATTTTATATATATGTATATATGTATATGTATGTATGTGTATATATATACACATATGTATGTGTATATATATACATATGTGTGTGTATATATATACATATGTGTGTGTATATATATACATATGTATGTGTATATATATGTGGTATTTGCACTGAAAAAGGTTAGAAACACCTGTGGGATTTTTTATTCCTTTTTCTTATTTTTTAATTGACAAATAAAAATTGTATCTATTTATGCTATATATAAATACTCTGATTTATTTACTTACTGATTTATTTTTATTTTATTTTTATTATTATTTTTATTTATTGATTTTTTAGAAACAAAGTCTTCATTTTGTTATTGCCCAGGCTGGAGTACAATGATACAATCATGGCTTATGGTGACCTTGAACTCCTGGGCTCAAGTGGTTCTCCCGCCTCAGCCTCCTGAGTAGTTAGGATTACAGGCATGTACCACTACACCTGAATGATTTATTATTATTATTATTATTATTATTATTATTATTGTGATTCTTTGTAGAGACAGAGTCTTTCTATGTTGACCAGGTTGGTCTTGAACTCCTGGCCTCCAGCAATCCTCCTGTCTTGGTCTCTGAAAATGCTGGGATTACACAGGTGTGAGCCACTGCACCTGGCCTCTCATTTATTCTGAAGACATTAATTTGTACCTGGTTTTACTAGGCAGATAAAAAATACTCTTAAAATAATAACCAAATTATATCTTTTTTCCTTATTCTGACATCCTTATTATTATTTTTTTCTTTTATTACAGCATTGGCCAGGATCTTTACATCTGTGTTAGCTAATCATAGTAGGAAGCCATGTCTTTTCCTTAAATGTAAAAAGAATACATATTAAATATCTTTAGATAGAGTATCCTGAATTATCTTGTAGTCCTAAACTTAATCACAAGTGTCTTTACAAAAGAGAGGCAGAGAGGGATTTGAGTACAGAAGAGGAAAAGTTGATACAATAATGGAAGCAGAAATTGAAGTCATCAACTTTGAATATAAAAGGAGGGGCCACAAGCAATGGAATATGGTGACAGTCAAAAAGCTGAATGGATTATTCTCTCAGAGCCTCCAGATAGAACCAGCCCGACTGACACCTTGACTTTAGCCTAGTGAACTGATTTTGGAATTCTGGACTCCAGAAATGTAAAACTATAGATGTGCGTTGTTTTAAGCCACTGTGTTTGTGGTAATTTGTTAAAACAGCCATAAGAAACAAATACAGGTACAACTGTAACAACAACAACAACAAAATGAAAACCAGACCAGACGTAGAATTGTAGAAAATGTCAGGTGTATGGTGTCAAAGAGTACAAACTGAAGCCAACTCCCCAAATCCAATCAGATCCAAGAAAAAAAGAAAACCCAGATCTGAAGCCAGTAGTTCAGACTAGTGGAAGATTAAAAAGCATGAGTCAACAGCAACAACTTAGCTGAAAGATAAGAAGTCAAAAGGACATTCTATTTTGAAGATCATTTCTTCTTACGTCTTGGTTCCTTCCTTAGATACATCTGAGAAGCAGCTATTACCCTTTGTAAACTGCTGTGTGGATATAAACATCTCCTAATTCCTCGTTGATTTCAGACAAGTTAATTTAACATACATCTCAAATATATAAAAATTAATTAAGGCATTAGAAAATGGATGATTAAAATATCAAAAGAATAGTTTAGGAATAATATGAATAATTATAGAAACATTTTAAAATATCAATAATTAGAAAATTAAATATAAGCAATAGTAATGAAACAAGCAATTAAAAATATTAAAGGAACATGTGTTTTGAGATGAAAAAATTAAAGGGATGAAATTAGACCTTTGATCTGTAGCCTTTATCTCTTTCTTTCTTTAGTTGTTATAAATAACTTGATCCTTAAAGAAAATAAAAAGTCTTGTAAGTGATCTCTTGAGGGAATGTCCAGCCAGCTGTTTGGAGCCTGAAATGCATGGACTTCTGCTAGGTCATATGAATCTAAGGACACAAGTCAGAAACCTTGGCCTAAGAGAGACTATAGTTTTACATATACTGTTATTTATTTTGGGAAAGAGAAAGAAAGAGAAGATGGTGTTCAAAGAGAGAGAAAGAAGGGATCACATGGTGCTCTAAAGGATAAACTACAACTTACTGTAATAGAACCATGTTATTTGAGATTTTTACAGTTTTTTTTTTAAATTAACATTGAACACTAATGATTATGTCTAGGTGCTTTTGCTTTTTTTTTTTTTAACCTGAAGACTAATTGCTTTATTTAACTTCTCAAAGATGACTAACTAAAGCCATTCCAATGTCTAACAGTAACTTGTCTTTTTTTTAATAAAAAAGTATTTTAGCTTGTGAGATTTTAGGTGTGATTTTAAGAATCAGGTTAAATGTTTAGAGTCATGGTAATAAATCTTCTATAACACTTTAAATTGGTATTTTCTCAGGAGTAGAAAACATTATGTACATGCCTAAAATCAAATATTCACATTTGGACAGACAATTTCTTTAAAAGTTAGACAATTTCCCGCTGGAGGTGTGGGCACTTAAATGTTCTAAAGTGTGGGCAAAGTGATCATTTTAGCTATCTTGCAAAAATAAATGTGAATCAGGCACAGTCTAACTGAAAAAGGAGCAGTCCAGGTTAATCTTTAAAATGTTCAGTAGACATTTGCAAGAAATAATTTCAAACTTCAAAAAGATGAGGTAATTAATGGCATTTTGTGGTCTCAGTCAAATGCCAAAGTGCTCTGTGAGCTCTCTCCTCTTTGTGTGGATTCCAAGGGATTCCAAGGACCCCTATCCATGCACATCCTCTTGAATGATTATTCAGTGCTAGTCTCTATAAGAAGCAATCTCTCCTCAGCCTCATGTAATTTCAATCATGGGTAAGAATATGATTTTAGGTCAGGCATGGTGGCTCACACCTGTAATCCCAGCACTTTGGGAGGTTGAGGCAGGCAGATCACCTGAGATCAGGAGTTCGAGACCAGCCTGGCCAACATGGTAAAATCCTGGTCTCTTCTAAGAATACAAAAAAAAAAAATTTAGCCAGGCATGGTGGCAGGCGCCTGTAATCCAAGCTACTCAGGAGGTTGAGGCAGGAGAATCGCAGTGAGCCTAGATTGCGCCACTGCACTCCAGTCTGGGCGACAAAGGAAGACTCCGTCTCAAAAAAAAAAAAAAAAAAAATATATATATATATATATATATATGATTATATATATATGATTTTATGTATATATATATGATTTTATGTGTATATATATGATTTTATATATATATATATATATATATATATATATGATTTTAACTTTTCTTTTTGGTAAATTGTCATGTAACAGATCCGATTCTTTGGATTAGAGTTTCACATATTTGTACGTTTGTTTTTTGATGCTTGGTGCAGGCACATTTAAAAATCATCTGACTTCGGCCGGGTGTCTTAGCTCACACCTGTAATCCTAGCACTTTGGGAGGTCAAGGCCGGTGGATCACCTGAGGTCAGGAGTTTGAGACCAGCCTGGCCAACATGTTAAAACACCACGTCTACTAAAAATACAAAATTAACCAGGCATGGTGGTGGGCGCCTCTAATCCCAGCTCCTCGAGAGCCTGAGGCAGTAGAATCACTTGAACCTGGGAGGCAGAGGTTGCAGTGAGCTGATATTGTGCCACTGTGCTCCAGCCTGGGTGACAGAGCGAGACTCTGTGTCCAAAAAAAAAAATAAAAATCATCTGACTTAGAAGTTTCATTTTATAAGTGATATGATTGGTACCCAGAAAGTTTCAGTGACTTCTTTAAGGACACCAGTCAGAAACCATGGCCTAAGAGAGAGTATAGTTTTATATATACTGTTATTTATTTTGGGAAGGAGAAAGAAAGAGAAGATGGTGTTCAAAGAGAGAGAAAGAAGGGATCACATGGTGCTCTAAAGGATAAACTACTACAACTTACTATAATAGAACCAGGTTATTTGAGATTTTTACAGTTTATTTCTTTAAATTAACATTGTATTCTCTTAAAATTTCAAACATTTGGCACTATAATAATGATTATTTAAACTAAAAGAGTAAATTTAATAAACTTATAAGATTGTATCTTGTCTTAAAGATTCTAATGTTGTAGGAAGTAAAACGCCCAAAGAACTTTCAATTAAAAGTCTAAAGCCTAAAATCTGTAGATAATATACTTAGCCTAAATAATATCATTAGTATGTGTATGATTTACCTCATCATCTCTGTATTTTATTCTAAAACTTTCCAGGTTTCAAAGACTATCCTCTTTAAATATATAATTAGATCATTTCAAGTAAATTGGAGTTAACTCAAGTGAATTGAGGTTAGCAGTTCAGGTTGCTAAGGTTGCTTTCTGGCAAAATAATTTTTGTTGGGATGAGAACAAGATAATGTCTGAAATGAGAATATGTTCTGGATGGTAATTTTCACATGTACGTGCATGTGTGCTCACACACACAGTGAGGCATTTTCTATAGTTCCAGTTAAACTAGGACTACAATTGTGATCTTAAAGTTCATATCCTTGTGTACAAGTTATATTAATAACTAAGTCTTGTGTTTGAGCTTGGGAGATAAGCATCTTTTAACCTTACCCCACACATATGCACATACTAAAATAACAACTATCATTCTTTATCATCTAGAGAAATTGTATATTTTCCAGTCTTTTTCAGAGTTTAAAGTTTCCTATTTTACCCTAATATACCTTGGTACTATTGCATCAGATTTCATCTCCTTACACAATTGCACAGAAATCTGTTTCTATTTTATCTGATTCAGCTCAGTTCCACTCTCTCTCTCCCCACCTCTCTCCCATTTTTTTCTCTTGTCCTTCTTATCAGTATAAAGTATGAAGTACAATCTGTACTGCTCTTCAAATTATCCATTATTGGATTTATTTCTAAATATCAGGGCTTTGTCTGGATCTAAGATTACATATCTGTATCACTATCATAGAATATTTCATGAAGATATATCACATCCTTAGTACAATTTCAGTTTCTTATTTTAACATTTACTTCTTATCAACACATTTTTCATTTCATCTATACTAGTTTCAAGGAGAAAAATGAATACAATTAGCTGAATATGTTTACATCAATAGGTGTTTACATACATCTAAAGAATGTCAATGTTAAATGTTAGATAAATATAACTATATAATTAAAGCCTATACGAAAAATTCTAAAAAAGGGAACAATTTTGGAAAGGGAAGGTATCTTTTATGAACACATTAAAAATATTGTATTTTAGAGTTCAACTACTAATGACTCTTTCTTCCTTGCCCTAGTCCCAGACACAGTAGACAGAGAGTGGGTCTAGTAAATAGACATGTATATGTCCACTTTGTATTGATAGGCTAATTAGAGAAAATGGGTCTAGATTTGAGATTTTGAATATCTACTCTCATCCTCAAGCTTGAAACAACCTTTCCTAGAAAATATTTTCATAGAAAACATGGTATATTGATTCAGGTTTGTTTTCTTACATTATTGTGGTAGAAAAAAAAGAAGAGAAAAAGTATCTCCACCTGTTGTGGCTGTTTAACAGATTAGTGCATTCCATCTAGAGAAATGTGGAAGAATGCATGCTGCACACCAATTGGGTCACAGAGTGAGGACAAATGAATTTATAATGTGAGATATTAAGCAAGAGACTTAATTCTACCAAAACCTCTTCACATAGAAATATAAGGCAAGTTAATAGAAATTTCCCCAGAATTGTAATGTATTGTAGGACATGAAAGTTTAATTGAACGAATAATAAAAATATTATTCCTATAAATTTTAATAAAATAATGAGTCTATGTAATGCTAATGACATAGGATTTTTTTGGTGTTGCTTCATTAGCCAGAAATCTCCACAGCTGATGGCACCTCTGCTCAGGCTTCACTGGGGCTGGCTGGGCTAATTCCACCCACTTGGCCTGGCAGGCTTTGATCAGCTTATGCTACCAGCCCAGATCCTGTGCCTGCTGTGGCTCTAGGCTCAGCCTGTGGTTGATCCAGGCACACTGTAACTGGCTTCCACCTTGGGCCCTGGCATCTGGATGAAGGGTACATGGCAGGGCCCAAAAACTCAAAGATGCCAGCAACCGTAGAGCCCTGAGGGTGTTACAGCTTTAGCTCAGGGAGTCCCGAAGTCTGAACCCCCAGTAGGTGTTACAGCTTTTGTTTGTTCCCACCACACACAGCTTGGCAAATGGGGGTGTGTGGCATCCAGCAGTTTTTTTCACTCTCATAGCTTGGTAACAAGGAACATGTTACAGCTCTTTTTGCACTGACTCTTTGGCTGGTTCCAGGTTCTTGTCCTGTGACCAAGAGGAATGAGGTACACAGACACTGGAGATTGAGCTAGGCAAAGAAGAATTTTATTGAGAGACAGAAAAGCTCTTGACAAAAGGGGACTTGAAGTGAGTAGCCCCCTTTGTGAGAGGGGGCCCAAAAGTGGGTAGCCATCAGTGAGGCTGAGTCTGGGGTTTTTATGGGCTCAGAATGGAGGAGTGTGTGCTGACTGACCCATGGGCAGGCCTGGAATAAAGTACCATTTCTTTGGCTAAAAGGTAGTGAGGAAGTTCTCACTCCAGTTGTGGACCTAACCCAGAATTGACAGGTTGGTATTCAGGCTTCAGGCTGTCTTTGGCTTGAAGGTTGGGTTTCAGTGGGGACCCATCCCTGTCTGCCTAGGAATTTGTATTCTGTTGCTCTCACTAATGTTTATAAGACTATCAATAAACAAAACTGAAAGTGATATTTCTGTGTCAATTATTTCAAATGTTATGTTTCCTTTCAATGTGTCAAAATTCTCAAGTTTCATGGAGGAAATCAGTTATGTCAAATGAATTCTATCTACATTTTGTCTAAATTTATTAAGTAATCAAAAATTGATGTTGCCACATTTTAGTTTGGGATTTATTTATTTAAGATTTAGCAAGATCTTTTTTTTTTTTGCTTTTTGAATTTTGACATTTATAACCACATAATATGTATGCCTCTTTCCCAAATCACCAGTAAATTTCCTTAAGCAGTATTGCTTTTGGCCAACTTTTACACGTTATACCATAGCACTTAATATCTTTCACTATCAAATTATTGCATACCTCTTAAAGTACAATTACCAGATTTCCTTTGTGGAACAAATGCCTCTCCTGGGGAATAATAAATAATATTTGTATTTTCTAGGAAACACCTTTATCTTTCAAGTTTGTGTTTGTTCCAAAATAGTAAGTTACTTCCCTTTATTGTGTTTGCAAAGATATCATCTTCACTTTGCAACAGGGAGTCATCTCAGTTTGTTTTCTGTTTATTATCACCTACTTAAACATTTGAGATAATTGGTTGCATATTTTGTCTTACCCGCTTTTGCACTCAGTATCTACACTGTTAAAGTCATAATTCCTGGTCTATTAATAATTAGTTGGAGGATTAAAAGGACAGAGAAAGAATGAAAAAAAAAGAGGAAGGGTAATAGCAGGATATATATTCCTATATATTTGCTAAACCCAATAGAACATCAACACAAAGTATAAAGCATAATGTAAACTTTAGCTAATAACAATGAATCAACATAGGCTTATCAAGTGTACCACATTTATATAAGATATACCTCACTACAGAAAGATGTTAAAAATAAGAGAAACTAGGATTGATGGGCATATAGATTTTGTTTCTTTTTCTGTAAACCTAAAACTGTTTAAAAAAGTAAAGCCAATTAAAATTAATTAAATAGAAATCAGAAGGAGAAAGACAAGAAGGAACAGAGAAAGAACAGAAGGGAGGAAAGGAAGAAGGGTAGAAAAGAGGAAGATGAGAAAGAGGTAGGTATCTTAACTAATTTAATGATGCTCATAATCCAGGAGATACAGGAAAAATACGTAACATAAATTAAAAGAGCTGAACATGTTTGATTCTGAAGAGAGGGAAATTGCATTAATTTAGACACTTAACTAAGAGATATTAAAAACAGTAAGCATCAATTTAAAAGAGACATTTCAGTTTAACAAAATAGAGTTTTTAAGTATGATTCCATTTAGGAGTTTTTAATTTCACTTTAATACAATTATTCAAACAGACACTATCACTCCCTATCATATATGTTGTAGTCTTGGCAAGGTAGTTGCTGAGATAAATGTCATGATGAAATTACTATTTAGATGATTTCATGGAACTTTATTTAAATCATTCCTTTTTGGATCATAATAAGTAGATAAAGAGATAATTTGAAATTATATGTATATATCACTAAATTATAAGTTCATTAAAATTAAGTATTCTTATTTTATTCTTCTTTGAGATATCCATCAATGCTTTGCCATATTTGATGTACAAAAAAAGGCAGTATTATCAACAATTTAAAAATAACTATGAAGTGGTTTGTTAGGAAAAAAAAAACCTTAATCATTTCAATATTGAAAATACTTTGTTATGCTTTCACTTTCCATGTTTCACCTGACACAAACTTAAGGCAGCAGATATACTGGCATGGTAGTATTATCACTTGTGCCAATTTTGTTGTATTTTTCTCTTCATAGATATGTGTTTTAAACCTATAGCTATATATTGGTGCTATTATTATTTGAAGCTTTCTCGTATATATCTGTAGGAGGTGTTTTTGCCCCTTTTTTCAACCTTTTCCTGTTCAACAGTTCTCTAAACTGTTCTACCTTTCACAGGCTTCTAATTACAGCCATTTCTGATTCTGAGTTTTTGTTTCCTTCATTTATGTATGAATGTGACCATCTCCGGTATAAGCAATCTGTGTGCTTTCAGGGAATGAGTCACTTCAATAGGGATTCAGTCTTTCTCTCTTCTATTTATTTTCCATCATTTGTGAGAGAAGCTTTTTCCAGGGAATCAGTGAGTGACATTGTGTTATACCAAAGTTAGATACTAACTCACTGAAATTTTAAATCACTGGTAAATAATTTGTTTGATTTCAGATGAACTTAAGAATGACTTTCTTATTCCTCCTCTCATTCTCTTTATCATGAACCCCAATGTTGCTCAGATCAGCGGCCTCACTATCCCATTCTCCTTGATTTCCTTCTTTACTTTCAGAGAAGCACATTTCATTCTGTAATTTTAATTGACTTGCAAAGCCTACCTTCTTTCAATAGGAATTACTCCTAATGTTTTGTTGTGTCGTTGAATGGCAAACTGAAAAAAAACTAAAAATCATAAACACAAACTATTTTTATCATAATTATTTCAAAAATCAATCATTAATATAGGACCAGGTCCAAAGAGACCATTATTAAATAGTTAAATCCTAAAATAAAGTTTTACTAGAATTTATAATATTAAGAAATCTCTTATTGATTAATGAGAGCAAATATGCCTCTGGGAGAAGTTCTTCATGCAGCCACATCCAGCATGTGCAGGGCCCTGATGCAGAGGCACAGGAAGTGATGGCTAGACAAGGCGGGACTGGAGGCAACTCTCCTGGGCTTACATTGCCCAGACCTGAGTAAAGAAGTAACACAAATTGTAGAGTACACTGAACACAACCTTTATGAAAGGATTAATACACTTCTGCTTACCACCTTAGGTTAAAATTTGTAAATGGTCTTTAATAATAGCCTCTGAATATGTAATATTACCAAGAATCTGGCAAACGTTATAAGGAAAGCTGAGAAGTTATATTTTTGTGTGTGCCCTGCTGGTTTATTTATTTTTTTTTTTGAGATGGAGTCTCTGTCACCCAGGCTGGAGTGCAGTGGCGCAACCTCGGGTCACTGTAACCTCCGCCTCCTGTGTTCAAGCAATGCTCCTGCCTCAACCTCCCAAGTAGCTGGGACTACAGGCACCCACCACCATGCCTGGCTAATTTTTTGTATTTTTAGTAGAGACAAGGTTTCACCATGTTGGCCAGGCTACTCTCGAACTCCTGACCTCATAATCCGCCTGCCTCGGCCTCCCGAAGTGCTGGGATTACAGGCATGAGTCACCGTGCCTGATCACCCTGCTGGTTCTTTAGTGGCACTAAGTTGGCCATGATAAAATGATGCATGAAAAATATACACTAAAATAAAGTTAATCCAAGCTAGACATTTTCATAAAGTGTAGGACAGATGTGCAAATGTTTATGGACCCCCTCCCTCCACTGCTCCTGTGTATTTGCCTTCTCCTTAAGGCCCTTTATATACCAGTAATAGCCTCTAAGATTTATTTGATGTGTGTGTGTGTAGCGTCTTCCATTCTGTGTGTGTGTGTGTGTGTTTGTGTGGTTTTCATTGCTGTGTCGCATTTTCACTGACTCTCACACAAACACACACAGAATGGAAGATGCTACACACACACACACACAGAATGGAAGATGCTACACTGTTGTCTTTGAAGATGGAGCATGTGGCCATGAGCCAAAGAATGCAGGTATCCAACTAGAAGTAGAAAGAGCATGGAAACTAATTCTCTTTACAGCCTCCAGAAGGAAGAGTTCTGGCTTCCAGAATCATAAGAGACTACATTTGTGTGTTTTAAGCCACTAAATTTACTGTCATTTATTACAGCTGCAATAGAAAAAAAATACATATATATAAACACTTTCTTATTATAAATTTATGTAATGCTTTGTAGGTACACAAGATACTACATTTCATCACTTAAATTAAATAGCGCATTACTGATAGCATGATGCAGGTTTCTGTAAATATATGTAATAAATTTGAAAGTTAAGCTAAATTTTCAAATGAATAATATGATTACTGTTAGTTTAGCTTATTCTTTTGATATATTTATAATTAAAGGAAGCAAACACATCTTTCATATTTAAACCACTATTTTCAGGCTTCAATGTAAACCAGCTTTCTTCTTTCTATGTAATATTTTATTCAATATTTATAATTAGCTTCAAAATTTAATAGTAACTTTTCCTTTTTAATATTTCTTATATTGTTTGATTTTTTTCTCTCACCACGGGAGAATGCAGATGTCCTAAATTCCCTTTTCCTTGCTGTTTTATTAAAACCACACAGGCCTTTTGGATTATGCTGGTCCTTTCCCTAGCTTCCTCCTTGCTTTTTTTCTTTCTTTCTAATTTTTAGAATATAGTGGCTTAAAACACACAAATATGCTATAAAATTAGCAAGAACCATAAAATATACATTTTACTACTGTTAATTTTTTTGTTGTTTCTCAATAAATATTTTTGCATAATTTTTATGTACCGGGGAATTTTCTAGGTACTAGGTCAGTTTATTCTCAAGGCTCATATACTAATGAAAAATACACATATTCAGAGTTTTTTTTTAATTTTTTATTTTATTTTATTATTATTATACTTTAAGTTTTAGGGTACATGTGCAAAATGTGCAGGTTAGTTACATATGTATACATGTACCATGCTGGTGTGCTGCACCCATTAACTCATCATTTAGCATTAGGTATATCTCCTAAAGCTATCCCTCCCCTCTCCCCCCACCCCACAACAGTCCCCAGAGTGTGAAGTTCCCCTTCCTGTGTCCATGTATTCTCATTGTTCAATTCCCACCTATGAGTGAGAATATGCGGTGTTTGGTTTTTTGTTCTTGCGATAGTTTGCAGAGAATGATTTCCAATTTCATCCATGTCCCTACAAAGGACATGAACTCATCCTTTTTTATGGCTGCATAATATTCCATGGTGTATATGTGCCACATTTTCTTAATCCAGTCTATCACTGTTGGACATTTGGGTTGGTTCCAACTCTTCGCTATTGTGAATAGTGCGGCAATAAAGATACGTGTGCATGTGTCTTTATAGCAGCATGATTTATAGTCCTTTGGGTATATACCCAGTAATGGGATGGCTGGGTCAAATGGTATTTCTAGTTCTAGATCCCTGAGGAATCGCCACACTGACTTCCACAAGGGTTGAACTAGTTTACAGTCCCACCAACAGTGTAAAAATGTTCCTATTTCTCCACATCCTCTCCAGCACCTGTTGTTTCCTGACTTTTTAATGATCGCCATTCTAACTGGTGTGAGATGGTATCTCATTGTGGTTTTGGTTTGCATTTCTCTGATGGCCAGTGATGGTGAGCATTTTTTCATGTGTTTTTTGGCTGCATAAATGTCTTCTTTTGAGAAGTGTCTGTTCATGTCCTTCGCCCACTTTTTGATGGGGTTGTTTGTTTTTTTCTTGTAAATTTGTTTGAGTTCATTGTAGATTCTGGATATTAGCCCTTTGTCAGATGAGTAGGTTGCGAAAATTTTCTCCCATTTTGTAGGTTGCCTGTTCACTCTGATGGTAGTTTCTTTTGCTGTGCAGAAGCTCTTTAGTTTAATTAGATCCCATTTGTCAATTTTGGCTTTTGTTGCCATTGCTTTTGGTGTTTTAGACATGAAGTCCTTGCCCGTGCCTATGTCCTGAATGGCAATGCTTAGGTTTTCTTCTAGGGTTTTTATGGTTTTAGGTCTAACATTTAAGTCTTTAATACATCTTTAATTAATTTTTGTATAAGGTGTAAGGAAGGGATCCAGTTTCAGCTTTCTACATATGGCTAGCCAGTTTTCCCAGCACCATTTATTAAATAGGGAATCCTTTCCCCATTGCTTGTTTTTCTCAGGTTTGTCAAAGAACAGATAGTTGTAGATATGCGGCATTATTTCTGAGGGCTTTGTTCTGTTCCATTGATCTATATCTCTGTTTTGGTACCAGTACCATGCTGTTTTGGTTACTGTAGCCTTGTAGTATAGTTTGAAGTCAGGTAGCGTGATGCCTCCAGCTTTGTTCTTTTGGCTTGGGATTGACTTGGCGATGCAGCCTCTTTTTTGGTTCCACATGAACTTTAAAGTAGTTTTTTCTAATTCTGTGAAGAAAGTCATTGGTAGCTTGATGGGGATGGCATTGAATCTATAAATTACCTTGGGCAGTATGGCCATTTTCATGATATTGATTCTTCCTACCCATGAGCATGGAATGTTCTTCCATTTGTTTGTATCCTCTTTTATTTCATTGAGCAGTGGTTTGTAGTTCTCCTTGAAGAGGTCCTTCACGTCCCTTGTAAGTTGGATTCCTAGGTATTTTATTCTTTGTGAAGCAATTGTGAATAGGAGTTCACTCATGATTTGGCTCTCTGTTTGTCTGTTATTGGTGTATAAGAATGCTTGTGATTTTTGTACACTGATTTTGTATCCTGAGACTTTGCTGAAGTTGCTTATCAGCTTGAGATTTTGGGCTGAGACAGTGGGGTTTTCTAGATATACAATCATGTTGTCTGCAAACAGGGACAATTTGACTTCCTCTTTTCCTAATTGAATACCCTTTATTTCCTTCTCCTGCCTAATTGCCCTGGCCAGAACTTCCAACACTATGTTGAATAGGAGTGGTGAGAGAGGGCATCCCTGTCTTGTGCCAGTTTTCAAAGGGAATGCTTCCAGTTTTTGCCCATTCAATAGGATATTGGCTGTGGGTTTGTCATAGATAGCTCTTATTATTTTGAGATATGTCCCATCAATACCTAATTTATTGAGAGTTTTTAGCATGAAGGGTTGTTGAATTTTGTCAAAGGACTTTTCTGCATCTATTGAGATAATCATGTGGTTTTTGTCTTTGGTTCTGTTTATATACTGGATTATATTTATTGATTTGCGTATATTGAACCAGCCTTGCATCCCAGGGATGAAGCCCACTTGATCATGGTGGATAAGCTTTTTGATGTGCTGCTGGATTTGGTTTGCCAGTATTTTATTGAGGATTTTTGCATCAATGTTCATCGAGGATATTGGTCTAAAATTCTCTTTTTTGGTTGTGTCTCTGCCCGGCTTTGATATCAGGATGATGCTGGCCTCATAAAATGAGTTAGGGAGGATTCCCTCTTTTTCTATTGATTGGAATAGTTTCAGAAGGAATGGTACCAGTTCCTCCTTGTACCTCTGGTAGAATTCGGCTGTGAATCCATCTGGTCCTGGACTCTTTTTGGTTGGTAAGCTATTGATTATTGCCACAATTTTAGAGCCTGTTATTGGTCTATTCAGAGATTCAACTTCTTCCTGGTTTAGTCTTGGGAGGGTGTATGTGTCCAGGAATTTATCCATTTCTTCTAGATTTTCTAGTTTATTTGCGTAGAGGTGTTTGTATTATTCTCTGATGGTAATTTGTATTTCTTTGGGATGGGTGGTGATATCCCCTTTATCATTTTTGATTGCGTCTATTTGATTCTTCTTTATTTTCTTCTTTATTAGTCTTGCTAGCAGTCTATCAATTTTGTTGATCTTTTCAAAAACCAGCTCCTGGATTCATTAATTTTTGAAGGGTTTTTTGTGTCTCTATTTCCTTCAGTTCTGCTCTGATTTTAGTTATTTTTTGCCTTCTGCTAGCTTTTGAATGTGTTTGCTCTTGGTTTGTAGTTCCTTTAATTGTGATGTTAGGGTGTCAATTTTGTATCTTTCCTGCTTTCTCTTGTGGGCATTTAGTGCTATGAATTTCCCTCTACACACTGCCTTGAATGTGTCCCAGAGATTCTGGTATGTTGTGTCTTTGTTCTCGTTGGTTTCAAAGAACATCTTTATTTCTGCCTTCATTTTGTTATGTACCCAGTAGTCATTCAGGAGCAGGTTGCTCAGTTTCTATGTAGCTGAGTGGTTTTGAGTGAGTTTCTTAATCCTGAGTTCTACTTTGATTGCACTGTGGTCTGAGAGACAGTTTGTTATAATTTCTGATCTTTTACACTTGCTGAGGAGAGCTTTACTTCCAATTATGTGGTCAATTTTGGAATAGGTGTGGTGTGGTGCTGAAAAAAATGTATATTCTGTTGATTTGGGGTGGAGAGTTCAGTAGATGTCTATTAGGTCCACTTGGTGCAGAGCTGAGTTCAATTCCTACGTATCCTTGTTAACTTTCTGTCTCGTTGATCTGTCTAATGTTGACAGTGGGGTGTTAAAGTCTCCCATTATTATTGTGTGGGAGTCTAAGTCTCTTTGTAGGTCACTCAGGACTTGCTTTATGAATCTGGGTGCTCCTGTATTGGGTGCATATATATTCAGGATAGTTAGCTCTTCTTATTGAATTGATCCCTTTACCATTATGTAATGGCCTTCTTTGTCTCTTTTGATCTCTGTTGGTTTAAAGTCTGTTTTATCCGAGACTAGGATTGCAACCCCTGCCTTTTTTTGTTTTCCATTTGCTTGGTAGATCTTCCTCCATCCTTTTATTTTGAGCCTATGTGTGTCTCTGCACGTGAGATGGGTTTCCTGAATACAGCACACTGATGGGTCTTGACTCTTTATCCAATTTGCCAGTCTGTGTCTTTTAATTGGAGCATTTAGTCCATTTTACATTGAAAGTTAATATTGTTATGTGTGTATTCGATACTGTCATTATGACGTTAGCTGGTTATTTTGCTCACTAGTTGATGCAGTTTGTTCCTAGCCTCGATGGTCTTTACAATTTGGCATGATTTTGTAGTGGCTGGTACCGGCTGTTCCTTTCCATGTTTAGTGCTTCCTTCAGGAGCTCTTTTAGGGCAGGCCTGGTGGTGACAAAATCTCTCAGCATTTGCTTGTCTGTAAAGTATTTTATTTCTCCTTCACTTATGAAGCTTAGTTTGGCCGGATATGAAATTCTGGGTTGAAAATTCTTTTCTTTAAGAATGTTGAATATTGGCCACCACTCTCTTCTGGCTTGTAGAGCTTCTGCCGAGAGATCCGCTGTTAGTCTGATGGGCTTCCCTTTGTGGGTAACCCGACCTTTCTCTCTGGCTGCCCTTAACATTTTTTCCTTCATTTCAACTTTGGTGAATCTGACAATTATGTGTCTTGGAGTTGCTCTTCTCAAGGAGTATCTTCGTGGCGTTCTCTGTATTTCCTGAATCTGAATGTTGGCCTGTCTTGCTAGATTGGGGAAGTTCTCCTGGATAATATCCTGCAGAGTGTTTTCCAACTTGGTTCCATTCTTCCTGTCACTTTCAGGTACACCAATCAGATGTAGATTTGATCTTTTCACATAGTCCCATATTTCTTGGAGCCTTTGTTCGTTTATTTTTATTCTTTTTTCTCTAAACTTCCCTTCTCGCTTCATTTCATTCATTTCATCTTCCATCAATGATACCCTTTCTTCCAGTGATTGCATCGGCTCCTGAGACTTCTGCATTCTTCACGTAGTTCTCGAGCCTTGGCTTTCAGCTCCATCAGCTCCTTTAAGCACTTCTCTGTATTGGTTATTCTAGTTATACATTCATCTAAATTTTTTTCAAAGTTTTCAACTTCTTTGCCTTTGGTTTGAATTTCCTCCTGTAGCTCGGAGTAGTTTGATCGTCTGAAGCCTTCTTCTCTCAACTCGTCATTCTCCGTCCAGCTTTGTTCCATTGCTGGTGAGGAGCTGCGTTCCTTTGGAGGAGGGAGGTGCTCTGCTTTTTAGAGTTTCTAGTTTTTCTTCTGTGTTTTTTCCCCATCTTTGTGGTTTTATCTACTTTTGATCTTTGATGATGGTGATGTACTGATGGGTTTTTGGTGTGGATGTCCTTTCTGTTTCTTAGTTTTCCTTCTAACAGACAGGACCCTCAGCTGCAGGTCTGTTGGAGTTTGCTAGAGGTCCACTCCAGACCCTGTTTGCCTGGGTACCAGCAGCGGTGGCTGCAGAACAGCGGATATTCATGAACCGCGAATGCTGCTGTCTGATCGTTCCTCTGGAAGTTTTGTCTCAGAGGAGTACCCGGCCGTGTGAGGTGTCAGTCTGCCCCTACTGGGGGGTGCCTCCCAATTAGGCTGCTCGGGGGTCAGGGGTCAGGGACCCACTTGAGGAGGCAGTCTGCCTGTTCTCAGATCTCTAGCTGCGTGCTGGGAGAACCACTGCTCTCTTCAAAGCTGTCAGACAGGGACATTTAAGTCTGCAGAGGTTACTGCTGTCTTTTTGTTTGTCTGTGCCCTGCCCCCAGAGGTGGAGCCTACAGAGGCAGGCAGGCCTCCTTGAGCTGTGGTGGGCTCCACCCAGTTCGAGCTTCCTGGCTGCTTAGTTTACCTAAGCAAGCCTGGGCAATGGCGGGCGCCCCTCCCCCAGCCTCGCTGCCGCCTTGCAGTTTGATCTCAGACTGCTGTGCTAGCAATCAGCAAGACTCTGTGGGCATAGGACCCTCCGAGCCAGGTGTGGGATATAATCTCCTGGTGCGCTGTTTTTTAAGCCTGTCGGAAAGGCACAGTATTGGGGTGGGAGTGACCCGATTTTCCAGGTGCCGTCTGTCACCCCTTTCTTTGACCAGGAAAGGGAACTCCCTGACCCCTTGTGCTTCCTGAGTGAGGCAATGCCTCGCCCTGCTTCGGCTTGCACACGGTGCACGCACCCACTGACCTGCACCCACTCTCTGGCACTCCCTAGTGA